>NC_000020.11:7339062-7490577 GCF_000001405.40 Homo sapiens
TGAATATTTAACCTGGAAAAGGAGAATAAGGCAGAATAAAAAGGATGGAAGAAAGAAGGTGACCTTAAACTTTAGTGCCCAAAAAATACTGGATGGGCCACTATGATTCCAGTACTACAATTTTTCACTTGCATTGACATTCACGGAATATCCAACAATTCAATGCAATTCTGACGCTAACCATCCAGAGATAACATAAACCCCACACCCACAAGTTAAGGGCTCAGGCCCACCAGACTGCACACACATCGGGTGTCAGTCACAAAGGGGATGCACAAGGACAGAGAAATGCTAAAATAATATAAGAGCTGTTATTTATTTAACAGTATATGCTTTTATATTTGGTTTGCTGGCTAACCCTTCACTTTATGCTTTATTTTGGCCCATTTGTAAACTGGAGGTAAGAATAGCTCTCTTTTCCTGGAAATACCATAAACTCAACAAAACATAAACAGTAACGTTTCCAATAATTTTTCTTTAAAACGATCACTACTATAATTCATTGAGTTAAAATGACTTAAAATTAAATCTTATAAATAATAACTATTAAAAATTTACTTACCCAAAATACTGTCTTCTATAACATTTTATGTACCTAAACACCTGTCCTAATTTATTTTTTCCCTTTTATTGCTAATCTTTTAATAATCACAAAACCTGAATCCACTTCTACCATCTTCTCTTCCCTTACAACAAGCTGATTGTTGGAAGGTATAAATTTTGTTGCTTCCATGTCTCCAAATTGAATGGCCTCCCCCTCTTCCCCACTACTGGTACATTATTCAAGGCCTTGTTGCCTCTCACTCAACTAATACAAAACTTTCCTACCTGTTCCCCTTATCACAAGTCTCTTCCTGTTCTGTATAAACTGAATAATTCTGTTCCCCGAAAAGTCACAGGTTGATATCCTAAACCCCACATGTGATATTAGGAGGCGAGGTCTTTAAGAGGTGACTAGCTCATAAGGGTGGAGCTCGCATGAATAGAATTAGTGACATTATAAAAGACAGCCCATATGAGCTGGGGCCCACTCAACCTGCTGCTATCACCATAGCTGGCACCCACCCACATGCACCAACTGTGAGTTTGGGAACTGACCTCCCCAACCCAGTGCAGCCACCACTAATACCAGTGCAGACCTCTCTGATCCCAGAGGGTTGTCCTACCACTGCTACTGTCATTGCCCATGCTACATCCACTGTCAAGGGCTTGAGAACCTGCCACTCCACTCAACCCACTGGTGCCATTCTTGGCACTAAAGTAAGCCACCAGGAGGCCCGAGAATTAGCCTACCTGGATTCAGTAATACCAGTGCCAACATACACTGCCCTGGGGCTCAAGGACAGGCACACTTAGCCCAGTAAAACTGAATCAGCAATAAAAGTCTCCCAATAGAGAAAAGTCCAGGACTGGATGGCTTCATTGCTGAATTCTACCAAACTTTCAAAGAAGAAATAATACCACTTCTTCCCAAACTATTCCAGAAAAGTGAAGAGGAAGGAATTCTCCCTGATTCATTCTATGAGGCCAGAATTACCTGGGTACAAAAACCAGACAAGGATGAAACAAAAACAAACAAAAAAACTACCAGCCAATATCCCTGATGAAGACAGATGCAAAAATTCCCAACAACTTGCTGGCAAACAAAATCCAAAAGCATATTACAAAAATAATACACCATGGTCAAGTGGAATTTATCCCAAGGATGCAAGGATTGATACATGAATCAGTAAATGTGATATATCACAGCAACAGAATGAAGAACAAAACCTCAATAGCTGAAGAAAAAGCATTTGATAAAATTCAATATCCTTTCATGATAAATACTGTCAACAAGCTAGGCAAAGAAGGAACATACCTCAACATAATAAAGACCATATATAACAAACCCACAGCTAACATCATACTGAACAGGGAAAAGCTGAAAGTCTTTCCTCTAAGAACTGGAACAAGAAAAGGATGCCCACTTATTATTATTATTATTATTATTATTATTATTACTATTATACTTTAAGTTTTAGGGTATATGTGCACAACGTGCAGATTTGTTACATATGTATACATGTGCCATGCTGCTGTGATGCACCCATTAACTCGTCATTTAGCATTAGGTATATCTCCTAATGCTATCCCTCCCCCCTCCCCCAACCCCACAACAGTCCCCAGTGTGTGATGTTCCCCTTCCTGTGTCCATGTCCATCTCACACCAGTTAAAATGACGATCATTAAAAAGTCAGGAAACAACAGGTGCTGGAGAGGATGTGGAGAAATAGGAACAGTTTTACACTGTTGGTGAGACTGTAAACTAGTTCAACCATTGTGGAAGTCGGTGGGGCGATTCCTCAGGGATCTAGAACTAGAAATACCATTTGACCCAGCCATCCCATTACTGGGTATATACCCAAAGGATTATAAATCATGCTGCTATAAAGACACATGCACACGTATGTTTATTGCAGCACTATTCACAATAGCAAAGACTTGGAACCAACCCAAATGTCCAACAATGATAGACTGGATTAAGAAAATGTGGCACATATACACCATGGAATACTATGCAGCCATAAAAAATGAGTTCATGTCCTTTGTAGGGACACGGATGAAGCTGGAAATCATCATTCTCAGCAAACTATCGCAAGGACAAATGAGAACAGGATGCCCACTTTTATCACTCGTATTCAAAATAGTTCTGGGCATCCAAGCCAGAACAATCAGGCAAGAGAACGACATGAAAGACATCCAAATTGAAAAAGAGGAAGTAAAATGTTCCTTCTTTGCTGTTGATATAATCTTCTATCTAAAAAAATGTAGAGTCCACCAAAAGTCTTTTAGATGTCATAAATTAATCAAACCAGGATACAATATCAAATATAAAAATCAGGGGCTTTATGTATGTCAATAATGAACTAGCTAAAAAAGAAATCAAGAGGGTAATCTCATTTGTAATAGGTAAGAAATACCTAGGAATATATTTAACAAAGGAAGTGAAAGATCTCTACAAGGAAAACTGTAAAGCATGGGTGAAAGAAATTGAAGAGGACACATACAAATGGAAAGGCATTCCATGCACAAGGATCAGAAGAAACCTAATGTTGTTAAAATGACTATGCTGCCCAAAGCAGTCTGCAAATTCAAGGTAATTCCTATCAAAACACCAATGTCATTTTTAACAGAAATAGATTTAAAAAAATTTGTATGGAACCCAAAAGGAGACTGAATAGCCAAAGAGATCCTAAGCAAAAAGAACAAAGCTGGAGGCATCATACTACCTAACTACAAAATATATTACAAGGTTGTAGTAAGCAGAACATCATGATAGTGGTATTAAAAACAGACAAAAACCAATGGAACAAAATTGAGAATCCAGAAATAAATCTGCCTGTTTATAGACAATGTATTTTTGACAAAAATGCCAAAAACATACATTGGGGAAAAGATGCTTTCTTCAATAAATGATCCTGGGAAAATTGGATATTTATATACAGAAGAATGAAATTATAAACCTATCTGTAACTATAAAAAATTAACTCACAATAGATTACAGAATTAAATGAAAAACCCAAAACTATAAAACTAGTAGAAGAAAACATAGTGAAAACACTTCAGGATGTTGGTCTAGGCAAAAAAAAAAAAAAAAAAAAAAAACTTCAAAAAATAGACAAATGGGATTGCATTAAACTGAAAAGCTTCCACACAGCAAGAGAAACAGTCAACAGAGTGAAGAGACAACCTGATGAATGGGATAAAATATTTACAAACTATTTATCTGACAAAGGGCTAATATCCAGAGTGTACAAGGAACTCAACAACAATAACAACAACAAAATATACAAATAGTCCCATTAAAATGTGGGCAAAATACATGAATAGACATTTCTCAAAATAATACATACAAATGGCCGACATTACTAATTATTTGGGAAATGCAAATCAAAGCTAAAATGAAATACCTTCTTTCCCAAATTAGAATGGCCATTATAAAAAAGAAAAAATAATAATAGATGCTGGCAAGGATGCAGAGAAAAGGGAAATCTTATACACTATTTGTGGGTATATAAATTAGTACAGCCATTATGGACAACAGTATGCAGATTTCTCAAAGAACTAAAAGTAGAACTACCATATGATCCAGTAATCTCACTACTAGGTATTTATTCAAAGGAAAAGATATGAGTATATCAAAGGCATACCTGTACTTTCGTATTTACTGTAGCACTACTCAACGATAGCAAAGATATGGAATTAACCTAAGTGTTCATCAACAGGTGAATAGGTAAAAATAAAGTATATATACATGATGCAATAGTATTGCCCATGAAAAATAATAAAATCATGTCATGCACAGCAACATGAATGGAACTAGAACTCATTATGTCAAGCAAAATAAGCCAGATGCAGAAAGACAATTTTTTCATGATGTCACTCATATGTGGGAGCTAAGAAAGTTGATCTCATGGAGGTAGAAATAGAATAATAGATACCAGCATCTGGGATGAGTGTGTGGGTGGGAGGTGGGGATAAAAAGAGATTGGTCAATGGGTGAAAACATGTAGTCAAATAAAAGGTATATATTCAAATGTTCCTTAACAGAGTAGGGTAACCATAGTTAGTGACAATACATATTTCAAAAGAGCTAAAAGAGAAGACTTTAAATGGTCTCAAAACACAGAAATGATAAATACTTGAGGTGATGGACACTCCAAATACTCTAACTTTATCATTACACATTCTGTGCATATAAAATAATATCAAATGTATCCCATCAATGTTTAAAATATTATATATCAATTTAAAAAGTAGAAGAGGGAGCTCCGGGAAAAGAACAGCAAAAAACAAAATATAGCCACTATTTGTCCATATGTTTTTGACTGAGCCAATAAAGCAAGTCATTCAGTAAAAAGCTGAGTGATACTTCTGAATGTTGCATAATTCCCTATTGTTTTATTTTCAGAGGTGCTTCAGTATAAGGCTAAGAAAAAAAACTCTGTCATTTATCCTTAAGTAGGAAAGAAAGAGGAGAAACATTTCACAGGTTACCTGAGATAAATTACAAAAATAAAAATTTAAACTTTTTTGGTCGAATTAATACAATGCATTTGATTAGAAAAACATTTATTAAATTGGTATACATATCTATGAGTCTTTAAAAATTGAAAGAAAATATTATAAGGGATATATTTGGAATAAGAATGTATGCTATGAAATTCTCTACTTCATGAAATGAGTAACTGAATTGGTGAACTAATGAGTATTAGACTTAAGGTTATCAATCACCAGTGATCAATCATCATCTACTCCAGTTGCAGAACTGAAAGTGAATACTTGATTTCTTCCTTTTTGAATACCTTTGGGAAAGAATTTTGTCAACAGTGTGATAACATAGAAATGTGATGTTCTGCGCTTCTGATTCTCTTGATCAGTAAGACACTGTACTAAGAAAGAGAAAAAGTGAAATTTTGAAACATGACTAAAACCTCAGATATATACATTAATATTCAACTGAACTCAGATAACTTGATTCTCCACAATATTTGAAGACTTCTTAGCAAAAAATAAAGTTTTGGACTTTGGGAAAAATAAAAAAGGAGAGCTCCCAGAAAGTTATATTTCCCCTTTCTGCCATGTAGGACACAACAACAAGGCACCATCTATGAACCAGAAATGTGGCCCAAACAAGTTGCCAAAACTTCCAGTGCCTTGACTTTGGACTTCGCAGCTCCAGAACTATAAGCAATAAATGTTTGTCATTTAAGCTACCCACTGTATGATATTTTTGTTATAGTAGCTCAAATGAACTAAGATGCTTTCTCTAATTATTTGCTGTGGGAATATATCCTGATATAGACATAATATATTCCTTTCAGAAATATGCAATGCAATAACTACCCTGTATTCTATTAATTAATTAATTTATAACAAATTAATGATGAATTGTCAGACTGGCACTTGTTAATTTTTAGCCTACCTTTTAAAATTTTTTTGTCATTTTTTTTTCTTTTACCAACATCCTCCCCAGGATTTCCCACTTCTAGATTTTCAATATTTTCCTATGTCTTTTATTCTCTAGTTTTCTCCTACCTATAACACCTTTCTCTTCCACTGTACAAGCCAGTCAAAACTTGATTCATACTCCAAGACCTATATTAAAGATTGTCTCACTCGTGAAGTCATTCATTAACATCCTTGGACCTAATCAGAGGACTCCTCCTTCCTTGCACTCACTTAATAAATTGAGAATCATTTTTCTTTGAGAGATTGTTACTTGTGTTCTCAAAAGTCAGTATTAGGTCCTTATTGAGCCTGTGGGCCTAGAGTCACTGCCTGGGTTTAGAATCTGCCTTGGCTGCTTACTGTGTGGCTCTCTTAACCTCTCTGCACTTTCATTTTCTTACCTGTAAAATAGAAATAATGAGAGAACCTTCATAGAGTTGTGGCAAGGATTAATTGAGCTAATGCTTACACAGTTTTAAAACTTTGCCTAGCATGTAGTAAATGTCAGCTGTTGTTTACTTGTCTCCCTTCTGTCTTCCCAAATCATCACCATTTTGACTCTGTATTATCTACCTATCCATCTATCTATCTATCTATCATCTATCTATCTATCTATCTATCTATCTATCTATCTATCTATCTCTCTATCTATCTATCATCTATCTATCTATATCTAGTTCTATTTCTCTGGAGAACTATTGGTTGGTTCTATTTCTCTAGAGAACCCTAACACCCTCCCTTTCTATAATATACATTCTCAGAAGCAGTTTCTTGGTTACTTGTTAATCATCTTTCAGATCTCAGTGTGAGTTGAGTTCCTTTGTTCTACCCTTTAAATCAAAGATCAAGATTTCTGTCTCTTTGAATACTGATCTCAACTTCAGTCAACATGCAACTATTAATTAGATAACTTATTCAGGAAATATTTATTGAATTCTTGCACCACACATGGTTCCAAGCTTTGAACACATAGCAGTGGAACATCATCATACTATACATTGGTGTAATTACCTGATTAATATCTATTCACTCCTTTATATTATAAGTTTATAAAAGCAAGGACCTTGTTGTGTTACCAATGTGTCACTGAATCCTAATTCAATGCTTCAAGCGTGGTAAACGTTAATGAATGAATAAGGTTTTTGAAAAGCAGGAACATTGTGTTGACCTTACTCATAGTATCTTTCACAGGACTGTGCGCATGCACACACTAGGATGTTCTACAATTCAATTAGAGTTCTGTACATTTTAATATGTGTACTGTTTTCATGTTACCTTAAGCTCCTTATGATTATGGGTACTAAATAGAGTACAATCAAATGGCATTTCAAAATAATTAAAAGAGTTAATTTGGGGATCAGAGTTTTCTACTGGAAGAAGGATTAAATTAGTATGTATTATAGAAGGCCAGATTTCTCTGTTTAGATGAGTAATTCTTCCTGAATCAGGGTAAAAATCATGCCACTTTATAAGATGCTATAAGTCTTATGTTCCACAGGAAGGGCGGGAAAGAATCCAGCGCCCTTAAGAACTTCCTATTGTCTAGGCACCTTAGGCATTAGATCTTACAAAAGCTCTGGGAGGTTGATTTTTATCATTAGATCATTTTAAGTCATGATAAGACAGAGACTTAGAGATGTTGCATAATCTTCCTTGCCTAGATCCCTAGAGTCATCTAGTAGTAAAGATGGGAATTAGAAACCAGGTCTGTTGGACAGAAGCCAAGGCCCATCCCAGTCAGTAGAATGGGAGAGATGACACACCATTTTGTCATCATTCAAATAACCCCTTTCAGGTCAGAATCTCCTAAATTCTCTAAAGAAAAGTATTACAGGAGAGTGCTGGCCAGGTGGAGAGACTCACAGAATCAGATACACACACACACACACACACACACACACACACACACACACGTGTGTATATAGACTGTATGCACTGTGTATACATATACTTCTTCAAAATATATTCCTATTATAAACTAGGGAATACAATTTGAGGAAATGTAAAAATGAACATGTACTTTTTTTGGTTTGTGTATTTGATTGAGCCAAGCCTGGGACAGATGACCTCTGAACTGGAGTAATATGGTGTAAACAATCCCCTTGCCTTTCTGGTATGCCCCTTTCTCTTTCTCTAGACCTTCTTCTCAGAGCTCTGACTTAGCTTCTGATGTAGCTGGCAGAATTTCTTCTCTCTCATTCCCACCAAAGTATATATCTGTTGAATTGTTGAACTGGATTATGTCAGAAGCATTAATTGGAAATCATCACTCTGTAGAGAACAACAAAAACACAAAATCTCATGACCAAGGAAGAGCAAAAGAACTTGTCGGGATTTCTCGACCTCACCTCTCAGAATGTTGACAATGAACTACAACCAAAACACAACCATGGCAACAAATTAGATATTTGTTGAATCAGGCCAAGACACAGAAATATACTGCATGCCAAAATGTAAAGGTGACATGAGTGATCAAAAGAGAGGGAAAGTGAAAGGTCAAGGGAGAAACTCTCAGCATGTAGGTACAGAACCATTTCCATGAGGTCAGCTACATTCCAAAGTGGCTGCGGCACTGGATGGGAGCTGTTGGGACATGCTGCACAGCCCAAGACAGTCTTTGAAGGTTTGTACCCACCCTCGTTTCCTGGAGATTTATGAGGCCAGTTCAGACTCTGTCTTGCCAGTGCTACATCAAAAACATGCATCTACACTCTTCTTAAATGAAACATACATCTATACTCTTCTTAAATGAAATAATAGACATCACAATAAGAAGGGCTGGGTGTATAGGTCAGGCAGATTTCACTCCTCTTTATGGATAGATTATTTTGGTAATTATAAACCGAATGGGCAGAATTAATTCATGTTTATTGAGCATTGAATTCTGGAGCCTGAAATCACAATATTGTATTTATTCTATGTGAGTTTCTTTTTTCCTTCTTTCCTCTCTTCTTTTCTCCCTCATCCTTTCTTTTCTTTTTCATTCAACAAATGTTTACTTGTCCTTACTCTACCAGGCACTGCTCTAGGGGCTGAGAAGGCATCAGTGATCAAGATAGATACAGCCCCTGACACTGTAGAATGTATCAAGACTAAAAGAAAAGATTGTGTGAAGGGTTTCTTTGAAAGTCCTATGTGTTCATTTCTGTAGGAATGATCCAGGGGCTTATAAATAAAAATAGAGACAAGTTAAAATATTTCATGATTTTAAATATGTGCCAAATATTTTAATGGTACACTCTGGCTGTGTATAGAAACTAAGAAACTAAGAGAACTGGAGGAGGTAAGGCATATGATGGGAAGAAGTTGCTGCACCAGGAAGCATAGAATAGTTCAGATCAGTGGTCAACTTCTAGAAGGTTCTGTGGTATGTAAGAGGCGATGCCTCTGCCCAGAGACAGAGCAAGTGCCTGGGGAATGTAGCTGATGAAATCATCAGAAGACCTGGCTTATGACAAAAGGGTGCATGGGAAGTTCAAGAGACTGAAGAAATTGTCAGAGTGGCAAAGCAGCAGAGAGGGGCATACATGTGTGAAATTAGGCTGTAAAAATTGGAAGTGACCAATCATGCAGGTCATCATAAGAGTTTTGGTCTTTATCCCATGTGAAATGAAGACTTAGATATGTTTTAAGTATGCCAGTTTGTGTATGTCTCTATGTGTGTTTGTAAGAGAGGAAAAAAAAGGAGGGCAATTTTTGGAAATTTCAAGTGTACTGTGGTGGCAGTGAGGTTACTGTAAGGCAGTAAACTTAAAAAAAAATGACATTAGCCTGCAATAAGTTAATGGCCTTAAAGTGAGAGAGAATAGTCAGCTTTGAGTAATGTGAAAAGATAAAATCCACAGGGCATGCAGCTGGCTGTATTTGATAGAAGGTTATAAAGGATAACTCCTAGATTTTTGGGTTTTGTAGCATATAGATGATAGTGTCATTCCCTGCAATAGAAAACACTGAGGGTAGAGTCAATTTGTTGGAGAGGAGGACAATTAACTTTATTTTGAAACTACTAAATATGAGGTGCTTTAGTGATATCCAAACGGTGATATCAAAGAGGCAGATGAATGGATGGGTTTGGGGCTCACAGGCAGTCTGTGATAGAGACACTAATTCATGAGTCGTCTGTAGTGAGGTGACAATTGAAGCCATTGGCCCAGATGGGATCTTTTTGCTTAACTGTAGAGTATAAGAAGAGGGCGTAGGAACAAACCTTGCGAAATAACATTTCTTGGCCAACTAATGAGATTAAATTTGAAGTGAAGATAAAATAGAAGTAAACGAAGATGTAGGGGGAAAACCAAAACAGTCTTGTGACATGGAAACAAAGAGAAAAGAGCATTTTAAGCATCAGCAAGTAGTCTATAGTGCGAAGTAATTCTTACAGGTAAAATAAAATGAGAATTGAAAAACGTTTAATCTAGGGGTCACTGGCAACCCAAGGTAACTCTTTTACATAGAAGGAAGGGGCTAAGGGCCAGGTAGAAATCAGTTGAGGGGAAAATATATCATGTTAAAAAGGAAAGGCTGAACACACATGAAATAGAAAGGATCATGGTAAGAAGAAATTGGACCTAAAGCGTAGGTTCCATGGACAGCAAAAGTTAGCTCTCTACTGACATTTGAGAGACAAAGGAGAGGGTAATGTGGATGGATGCTGAAAAGTTTGCCAAATTCACAGAAGTGAGTTGAGGGAGTTAGCATTATATGGCCTCCATTATCTCTCTAAAGCATTTGGCTATTTTTTGAGGGTGAAAATATTAAATTGCATTGGGAATTAGAGCAGAAGTAAAACAGAGAAATCAGGCAGGAGTTTTGTATTAGCTGCCTATTGCTACAGCAGTGCTGCATAACAAACCAACCCAAAGTGAGTGACTCAAAACACTAGGCTTTTCTTTAATTTGTGTTTCTGTGAATTAGCTTCATAATGCTTCTGGAGTTGTCTGAGATTTATCACATATTTTGAGGCTGGTTGGCTGTCACTGAAATAGGCTGGCTTCATTGGGTTACCTGAGATAAATGACTCCTTTCATCTCTAGCAGGCCAGTCCAAGAAGTTGTCATGGTCAAGGCAGAGATGCAATAGCAGAAGTGGGAAGGTGCAAGCATATTTTCAAGCATATGTATGCATTATATTTACTAATATTCTAATTCTATTGGCCAAACCAAATCACATACCCATATTCAGGATCAAAGAATGGGGAAGGAGATTCTTCTCTGCAGTGGGAGAAACAACAAAGTCACGTGGCAAGGGGACATGAATACAGCGAAGGACACGGAATTGAGACCCTTAATGCAATCAATCTACAAGTCACCAATAGTATTAAGAGCACATTCGCAATAATTTAACTTCATTGGATAGTGGAATCCAACAGCTCTATTGTGTGGATTTCTCCAGCAACATTTGATTGCTTAAGTAGAACACCAAAAAGATGTTTTAAACTATATGTGGGAATTGCTAGAATGTATGAAGAAAGTGCAGAAAGACAGATAAGCAAGACCATGTTAGATATAAGTAAGGCTGTTATTGATGTAAAGCCATTTTAAAGTATCCACTGGCTAATGAGTCAAGTGAAGTTGTGGGAGAATGGAAAAAGCGGGGCTTGTGAAGCCAAAAGTTACTCATAGTGAAAATAGTTTAAAACATAATATTGAAAAAGAGGGGGTTGAAGTCAGGAAGAGGGTGCTTGAAGTTTTCAGATAGAACAATTTTATGAGATAACAAGGTCTAAGAAGTGGCAGTTTTGAGTAGGGAGCTGAGGTAAAGCTAGTAAAAGGGGAAGGCAAAGGAAATGCAGTCAGGGAAGAGGAGAGTGTTGAGTCATTTTGGTAATAAATGAAACGATGAAAAATCTAAGTCTAGTGCTGGATGTGCGAGAGGCAGTAACCAGGAGTTCAGCAGATAAGTGTGGGGAAAGGGAAATATAATATAACCAAACAACACAGGATGCAAGAGCTGCATTTTATGGTCTGATTGATATAGCTGTTGTTATTGGGGAGAAGGGTTAATGAACTAGATGCAGCGAAGGGAAGCAAAGATGCCATCAAGATTTTCTCTCAACCTTGAAACATATGGGCTATTATACAAACAAACAACCAACAAACTCTGGGTTGTAAGAAAGGCAAGATGGAGGAAGCTACAACTTTTCTTTGTTGAGAATACATACAGTTTTGGAATGAGTAGCGATGCCATGTTGTATAAAGTTGCCTAGCCAAACTGAGTACAGATGTTCCAGAATAGGACAGAGAATGACAAAGTTGGGAAAGGAAATGTGTTAAGGAACAAAATGGTAGGAGAAGGCAACAGAGCAACATTCACCCTTCCTCTCTGTCATCTCAGTGGTTCACTGGCAAGAGGCCAATGACTCCTGACAGTAACTCCATCTCTGTCCTGTTCACTTTCCCCACATTTATCTGCTAAACTCCTAGTTACTCCTCCTCACACATCAAGCATTATGATACTGAGCTTATATTTTTCATCTTTTAATTTACTACATCTTTTCTCTCCTGGGAAGGACAGAAACCATTCTCACACTTGGTGAACTCAGAGTCCTTGAAGGAAAATAATAAAAAATTGTGGAGAGAATGAGAGGTTGCACATGGAGATTACACAGGGATAACATTGTTATTTACTTTCTTTTTCATATGAGAGAAAAAAAGAGAAAACATATAAGAAAAAACATGAAACTAAATATGGCATATATTTATCCTTTTAAATATAACATGAGTGTTAGGAATTATAACTTATTACATTAATGTGTCTAGAATATAATTGAAGGAACTAATTGAAGTAAAAATTAAACAGTATGTGATATTGCACAAAACTTGAATTCACGTCCCAGTTTTGTCTGGCTCATGATCATGTCTGTCCTGGTAGGGGCATTGTAAATGCTTAATTCATACATTTGGGAAAAAATGAATAAATTGTTGTATCTTGGAAAAGTATACCAAAAAAAAGTATTTATGATGCTGAGTTTTTCTCTTCCTATTCTCCTGATTAATTTCTATCCATTCTCAGTATTAAACAACCTAGGAGATATGGACTTGGTATACAGTAGATGCTAGGAAATGATCTTTGGAATCTAAATTTGCTTATGTGAAGTTGGAGGTGTCAATAAAACCTATTTAGTTATTATTCAAAGTTCTTTTGCTGTCTTCTACTCATACTTGCCCATTAACTCAAGCCTTGCATGTTAGCAAACATTAATGATTTTTCTTGTAGGGCTGACCTATCATATTTACACACCCACACTCTCTGAGGTAATCTTGAGCCAGGCTCCTTCTGATTATATTTCGCTTTTTCATGCTGTTGTCCCAGAAGACGTTGACGTCATCCAGAGACACAGTAGCGCCGTCCGTCTTCAGAGGTTCAATTCATTCTACCATCCAGAAATTCTGCCGACAAGGCGGCCAGTGTTAGAAATTAAGCTTGTGACACGCAGGACATGGTGGAGTGCAAACATTGGTCAGTGCTTCCTCTCTCAGCCACAGAGGAAAGCCACACTGATTGGTATTCAGGAAGGGGACCTCCTGTTTCGAAGGATTCCTTCATGCTGTTCAGCAATGCTGTTTAGGGTGGATTTTCCCATTTGAACGGCAAAGCTTAAACACAAATATTAACTACCTGAAGCTGCAAATAGCAGCATAGTACATTAAAAAAATAATGAATATGTTAACCAGCCTCTACCCAACCAAGAAAAATATTACGCAGAGACAAGGCTGATTTTAGAAAAATGCCCAAGGAAACATTAATAAAAAAGTTGAGTTTCCTTTCAAAGTTTGTTTTTGCTAAACATTCATAGTTTTGCCTTTTCCAATCCAATTTTATTATAAGAAAGATCTCCCACATGTGTACCTGGCATTCCTTTTAAAATAATCAGTAATACGCACACACAAAAAATGGAAATAGTGGGTGAGTTCTTAAGTGTGACAGAAAGAAACGGCAAGATATGTTACAAAGAAGAGAGACACTTCTTTGAATGCACATAAGTTTGTAGCCTCTTTAGTTATAAGCAGAATTTCATGTCCTTATTATTTTGACTATTTACATTTTGATATTGTTCATTTGGAAAATCCAAGCCTATCTGATTCTTAACTGCAAGGTTTCTTCCCATGAAATCACTGAAGGTGCAACATTGCTTGTAGTCAGTAGAAGACTGAAATTTTATGGCTATAATTCCAGGTTAGGGCAACAGATGGACATTCTATCACCTGTTGGATAGCTTCTTTGGTATTTATTTCTGTCCTTGGTGAAGATTAAAACTAAATTATTGGGCTTGAAGAGGCAGTTCACACCTGTAATCCCAGCATTTTGGGAGGCCATGGCTGGAAGATCATTTGAGCCCAGGAGTTGGAGACCAGCCTGGGCAACATAGAAGATCCCTATTTCTCTAAAAAAAAGTCTAGGTATGGTGGCACATGCCTGCAGACCCAACTACTCAGGAGGCTGAGGTGGGAGGATCACTTGAGCCCAGAAGTCAAGGCTGCAATCAACCATGATCATGCCACTGCACTTCAGTCTGCATGACAGGGTGAGACCCTCTCTCTCTCTAAAGAAAAGAGAAAACCTAAATGATTAAAACATTCTGTTCAATAATTCTCATTCTCAACTGGTAAAATAGGAATTTTACACTAAACTTAGCGAATAACAAAATGCTTTTGGTGCACTTTCTTTGTTCAGGGCTCTTTTTCTCAACACTTATGTCATTACTTCCTCATAACAAGCCTGTAAAGTTGGTATTAATATTAATCCATTTTCCAGATGAGGAAACTGAGGCACACAGAGATGAAAAACTGTCCAGGTGGTTGAGCCAGAATTGAAATGTTGGCTGTCTTCATCTGGAGCCCACACTTTCTACCTTCCTGTTGTGTTGTAAGTTAAACTCAGGTTGAAATTGGCTAACTTCGCTTTGCCTGGTTTCCTGTTAATCCACTGTCATTTAATGTTGGTTTTTGTTGATTTGTTTTGTTGTTTTTGTTTAGTTTTGTCTAATTTGTGGCTTATAAATCTTTTCTGTAATAATGACAGTAAAACATGGGGCAGGGCACCTGGGTTCTAGTCACAGCCTAGCTACTAACTTCAAACAAGTTTGGATGTTGCATAAACTCAGTTTCCTTTCTATAAAGCAGATAAAATGAGAGAGCATAACTTTCTGTCTCATAAGGTTTTATCCTCCAAATCTACTGTGCTAACAAATTAAAAATGTTATCATAGATGCTTTTTCACTAAGCCAAAGGGATGCACCAAGCTGAAGTTTATGGAATTCAGTTTGACAACTTGTATATTAAACTTCTAAATTATTTTTCTGAAGAGGATGTTGAAACTAATGGAGAAAGGAAGGTTTAAGCTTGTTGATGAATTTTTATTCATCCATTTACTCCACTTCAAGAGTTAGTCAAGAATGAGTTGTGACATGTATTTGAAACAATTAAGAACAATGACTGACCACCTAGGTTTCTGTAATATCGAAAATGTGGGAATATCTACAAGGACAAATGGATGGTGAAGTAAATTTTGGATGCCAAGTGATACCTTGTGTCACTCTTCCAGGACTGCTGAAACTATTTCTAGGAAACCACACACAGGCACATGCCACAGTTGAAAGGGTCATCATAATATTTGTGCGTTCTTAGCATAAATTAATTTTGAAGACTATTTTAAGACAATTTGTTATTTTCAAACATTTATTTGGAAATCTATTTATTCTCACCCACATAGGAATATTTATCGACATCCCTAAGCTTCCATTTTAGTTACTTCCTTGTATAGTATTCTTCTGACTTGAATCTTGGATCAAATTCCTCAGTTTTTACATTGTTTAAAATAAGTTATCCTGCCATCCTTCTCTCCCAAGCTAGTGGTATCCTATAATCTATGAAAATGCACTGAAAATGAAGGAAAACCTTCAGTTAAACATTCTACCTTATTTTCTGAAAGGGATAATTCCTCCCTTTTATCTTTTAGCACAGTCTTTTGAAAGGATGTGGTCTTCATGGCTGGAAAGCCAGGATAGTTTTTGTGTGGTTTTTGATAAATTGAGGCCCATCAATTTGAATCACTAGACACTGTGCTTGTGGTTTTAGCACTTTCTTTTCTCTGGGACATCCTGCCCCCTACCATCCTTAATAACTCAGCTTTTCTGTTACCTCGTTTGATGACTGGTGGAGATGGTGGAGCAGCAGGAACCACCATAGTACATTCAATGAATTATTTAGTGAATCATCCTATAAATATTTAGTGAGCACCTTCTCTACGCAGGAATGGTTTTAAGTACTAAGGCTGTTACAGTCAAATGCCAACTCTGTACTCCTGCTCACACAGTGGTGACATTCTAGGAATATTGAAGAGAGAAACCAAAAATCAATTATCTATATTAATATTTGTCTAAATGAATACATATACCAATGAATAAGCTAATATTAAATTATGATATAAAATAGAAGTAATAAGATGTAATAGAGGTGTATGGGCTAAGAGAGGGATATGTTGGTGTAGTCAGGCTTCTGAGAGATGGCTTTTGAAGGGATACCATAGTTAGGAGAACAGCAAGCCACCTGAAGAACATTTTAGACAGAGGGAACAGCACACACAAATGCTGTGAGATGACAGCTACTGAGAATGTTGAGTAATAAAAAGAAGATAAAGTGAGAAAGATGGAAATTATACAGGATGAGGTCTGAGAGGTAGAAGAGGACCATTTCATATATGCCTTTATAGATCATGGAAAGGGCTATGTATTTTGTTCTAAGTACGATGGTGTAAAACAATGATTCTCAAAGTTTTGTGTGGATTAGAATTACATGAGTGACTTGCTAAGACCTAAGTTATTGGGTCCATCACTGGAGTTTCTGACTGAGTGCTTCTAGGGTAGAGCAAGAATTTTCATTTCCAACAGATGATGCTGACACTCCTGGTATAGGAAAAACAGTTTGAGAACCATTGCTGTAGTCAATAGCTGTTATGTGTACCTACTCAGAATAGATTTCACCAAAATCGTACAAGTGAATCTTGATTTTCTTATGCAAAATGTCTCTTCTGTATTCTTAGCCCCAGCAATGTATTTTATTACCTTGGACACAATGAGTTATTCAATGATGGACATAAGACTTTTGTCAGTCAATTGAAATCCAATCCAGGAAAACTCTAGAAACTGTTGGAAAATGAAAGTTCTTAAGCTACCAGACAAGAAGCTCACAGTCAATACATAGGGAAATTCTCTCCAAAAGCTAAGTCAATGCAGATGAGCGCTGAGCTGAAAGATGACAAGAGACTGAGCTCTGGTACCTTCCGTTTATACCCCTGGAGGTAGTCATGCCTAGGTCAATTATACTTCTCTGATTTCTATTTCCATCACTAATCTTCCCGTCTTATGGTTTAGGAAATTTCTCTTTGGGTTCTGAAACAACTCAAAATATAAATACAAATAAAAAGCTATAGTAGATATACCACTTTTACAAACTTAGATGCACCTTGCTTCATCACCAAGAACCAGATAAGTGAGTTTACATTGCTAAATACTACTCTGTACATTTATAAAATAAATAGGCTTCATATAGGCAAACAAGATATTTCAAAATAGAAAATCTCAAGCAAATAGGAGAATGAACTAGTTAGCCAAATTAACACAGGCATTTGAAAATGTGCTAAATAGCACTTGGTGACACTATATTATTGCTAGCAGCATTGTTACCCTGACTATTATCTATAATATGACCCCTAAATAAAATTTGTAATTGTATTCTTCTGTCCTTTTATGTGGAAACCTCACATCCTCTACAAGTTGGTGCATGTTTTCCATTATAATTATACAAAGCAGTTTCTCATCATTTAGCTTCTGTCTAAATGTGATCTGTTCAAATAGCCTTTCTTGACTGTTCTATTTCAACTGTCATCTCCCTCCTCAAGATGAAGTCTATCAAGCCATCATATTTCGTTACTTTCTGAGAAAACATTTTCTCAGATTATTTTGTTTGGTTATTTTTTATCTCTTAGAATATAAACTATATGAAAGCAGTGGTGTATTCTCTTATCATTAACATTCTGTCACCCAATTGATATTTTTAGAATAGAAAAATGAATAAATTGTACACTTTTGCCTTTCCTTAAATACATTTTAAAAATTTGAGTGTTTCTTTTCTATATTTGTATCTATACCTTTGGAACAATTTTAGGTCAAATTTCATTTTAGTCACAAATCTTCTCTGGCTACCATCACCCAAAGCAAGTTCACTTGCTTCTGAGCATAAGAACTAACCTGATAATATGAAAATTATCTTGTCCCTACTTGTGTTGAGCTTTTCTGTGTGCAAACTTCTCTTCCTTATCAGACCTTCCTGAAGCAATGCCAGTATTTTTTATTTGTATTTCCACTTTATCAATATTGCTTTGCATAGAGCACAGACATACAAATATTTGTTGACTGCATGAATAGATGGATGCATATTTAAGGGCCAAAATGCCCATAGTCATTTAAAACTCTTGTATTCTCCAAATAGATATTTTCTTATTATATATAGTCTTAAAGACTGTGAACTATGCTGTAAGTGAAAAATCTTAATTTCTGATATTATATTGACTATTCATAGAAACTGTACAATATTTATAGAAATAATCAAAGCAGATATTCATAGAACTCATGAAATAAACAGGTGAATAAGTAAAAATTAAAGTATTTAGTAAGATGATGAGTGGGAAAATATGGGGACTGCCTGTAATTTTTTATTTCTGCATCAGCTTTATGATTCCAACATGCTGCCACTGACCCGTTGGCCATAAGTGACTCAAAGTGTTTTCCTGCATGAGTGCAGGATTTGTGCCAGCCTCTCCATGCCTCCTCCCTTGTCCAACCTCATGACCCCTTCAGCATGGACTTCTAGGACAAGGTGTGGACTTTGGCAGACCTAAAATGTTTCGGAAAGGAAGCTGGTGCTTTGGGGGCAGTGGTAAGTCTGTTTTTAGACATGTTATTTCTGAAGTAGCAGCAGGGTACTGAGCATGACATCTATATATATGGAGTTGTATGTAGTTAGAAATATGGCATTGCAGATATGAGAGAAAGATAACATCGTTGGTCTTAGAATTTGAGAGTCATAAGCATATAGTCTTAAAGAAAATGTGGATGAATGCAAAACACAAGTTAGTGGTGATCTCTGGGGAGAGACAACGGCTGATGGTGTTACATGTGGGGAGGATAATTGAGGGATAATCTTCAAAGTCATTGGTAATCTTCCGTAATCTGGTTGATATGTTTTATTATTTTTTCAAAAATCACATATATATGTTATATATGAATGCTATATATCTCACAATAAAAAGATTTACAAGTATGGCTGCCTTTCAAAATAAAAATGTGCAATGGCAAAAAGCAAATATTTAATGCTTCAAATATCTTAGTTAATTTCCTAAAATGTGATTACTTGAAGCACTTAGTTGGAATAACTCAAGTGCGTACAACAATTTGCCTCAGCTTCTAGCTATTTCAGGGACACTCTTGGATGTAAATGAACTCATGATATTTTTATCAATTCTGTTTACTCTTGTGTGAACAACCATGACTATTTTCTCCTCACACTGAAGGCTCCTCCTCTGTAAAAGATGATTTCCAAACATCTACAACAAAAAGAATGGAGAAATTTGTCCCCAAATTGAATCCTACATTAATGAATGCATGACATATGTACCAGTTACTTGTTGACATAATGATGTTTCATTACAAACCACCCTGACATTTATTGCCTTAAACATATCATGTATTTGCAGGTTGTCTGGGAGACTCTTAAAGTCTTGAGTGGGCCCTTCCTGCACCTGCAGTCTGCTGCAGATGAGCTAGGGGGCTCTGCTGATCTTAGCTAGGGTCTCCTATGTCTGGGATACTCTGTCAGCTTGTCTAGGACCTCCGCTGGAAAACTTGGACAATTCTTCTCTGCCTTACTTGTCCCATCCACTGAGCATTTTCTCATGCCAAAGTTAGAAGAGTAAATTAGAAAAAAGACACATTCAAGGACTTTTCAGGAGTTTCCAGACTCTGTTGACACCATATTTGTTCATAATTGGGCAAAACAAGAATCAGGGGATAGAACAAAATGCTGTCCAGAGTGGGAGGGCGCTGCACATTATGGGGCAAAGAGAGAGGAGGAGAGTGGGGCCATTGATGCAGCTCATCTACCACCACATGTTCTTCCTCCCCTCCTGGCCCTTGCTCATTCTCTTTCTATGATTTCCTGCCTATTAGGATTCTACATGCTAGCCTTCCCTTGAGGCTCAGGTCAGGTGTCCATGACTGTATATGCAGTTATTCCAGCCTTCTCTCCCGTCCAAAACGTTAAGGCACTCACTGTTTGCTTCCATCATTTTAACTTTTTTATCTCCATTGTCGGGTGTTGTTTCATAACTGACTGTCTCATCAGAAAATGAGTTATTAATAAAGAATATTTGTTTTGTAACCCTGAAAAATCTGGTAGAAACAGGGTAGAAAATAGACCCTGATCAATAGTTTTGATTATTTGTCCATTGATTTACTTTTATAAATCTGTTCAGTCATAAATACACATGGCCCTTTTCTAGAGTCCTGGTATGTTAACATTGATTCTTTTGGCAACTGGGTATAACCCATCAATTTCTTCCTTCTTTTTATTTCTTATTTTCATGTTTCTTCCTATTTCCTTCCGTCCTTCTTTTCTTTTTGAAAAGCTTTTCTTTAGATTAAAAGAATTTGACTTGTTCAGAAAAAAAGGTCTAAAAACCCTTTTCATCACAGTTAATTAGATTTCTGACTTGTTCTCTATAGCCAATATTTCTTCAGCACATTACTTGAGCACACCCCTAAAAACAGGTGTCAAAACACATTAAAGGCATGGCTTCCTAAAACATCAAAGGAAACTGTGTTCTCTATTTTCATAAATGCCACCACAAAGCTAAAAGCCTGTCTAAGTTAGTCACGTGAGCCATTTTACTGGTCAAGATATGGGTAATTTGAGTGCTGCCCTCGGTATTGATCTCATCTCATTTATACGTGTTTAAAATTCTACATTAATCCAAATTCTACTTTCTGAATAATTTATGCAGAGGCCAAAGAAATGTCAGTTTGCAAATAATTGGAGGACCTTTACAGAGATTCCAGGTAAAAGTACAGAGCTGAAAAGTAGAAAGCAACAGTGCAAATCTTGTCATGTGGACTGTTCAAGGGCACGATAGTTATCAAATCCAACCTTTCAATTTCACAGTCTAGGGTTTAATGAGAGCCCCCAGGGCTTAGGTTTCCCATCAGGGAAGTGACCTTGGCCCCAGCCATCAGCAACAAGGATTTGAAAAACACTAAATCCATAACCCACATTAGATTGATCCCATGTAAACTGGGTGGTAAAATGGGAAATTTGAGATGCAATATTTGAACCTTAGATCAATTGGGCAAGAAACATAATAAGGCATTATTATTCTCATTCCACAGTTGAACTTCTTCAAATTCAACTGTATAATAAAGAAGTTGAATGCCTTGCTCAAGTTCACACAACCAGCAAGTACAAGAGTATCTGGTTTATCTGGCTCTAGAATCACTTTCCTTTGCTTTCTCAACAGATGGCTGGATGCATGACCTTGTCATATACGTAAAACATCCACAGACTAACTGGAAAAGGACTTCACCTCAGCCAAAGTGAGTGCATTGCAGAATAAGTGCAGAGAGCTTACCTTGGTTTTTAAAGATATTGCAATCCGTTTTAATTGGGGATCTCATTGCAATGTGCTCCTATGTCTTGAGACAGGTAAGCAAAACAAAACGAAGGTGATTAGCATGGGGAAAGATGGGGCATATTTGAAGCAAACCCACTTTTTAAAGAATTTCCTCATTCCTCACTCTTTATTCTTTCACTTAAAACCTACTGTGACATTTAACTCTGTTTTTCATGGCAATGTATCTTTTTCTCCTTTTCATTTTTTTTATTTCTCCTTTATCTCGAATAAATTGCTCCATGAAATTTTTCTCTCTTCACTTCCTAAGACACCCTAGACATTCCCTCACATGAAATCAACCAGGTTGGTCTGTCTGCTCATGCCTCCGCTGTTCTCATAAAGAAAGAGAAGAAAGGGGCTCAATGCCTGGAGTGTGTGAAAATGGGGTAAGGTGAGGGCAGAGTGTGGCAGGTATTGTGCTGAGGCCATGAATGCATAATCACTACTGTCACAGCAAATAGATTCTGTCATGAGGAATTCCATGGTTTTCCAGAGGAAATCAGCTTTCCCTGCAGGCTGCCAAGCCCAAATGAGCTCCTTACAGCACCTGCAGATCTGAGCATCAAGCAATTATTCCACTATCTTGCCTAAAAACAAAGACTTTGCTACCCTTTGACAACCTCTGACCTTTTTCAGCTAACATAAACTAATTATATTTGCAGCAGGAGGGGAGGAAGGCCTTCGTAGTCCTCCGTGGGAGTTGTCTTTCATGCTTTGTGCCACGTTGTCAGTTCTGGCAATCCAAAAAATGACCACCCTTCAATCAAGGGAGTTGCTGGACAAAGCACTTAAAGAGATACAGGGAGGCCCTTATCACAAGTAAATTTCACTGTCTAGGCTTGGTCAGAGTAGCCCACACTGTCCAGTTAGCAATAGTACAAGAGAGCCATTGTTAAGTGTCACTTAGCAGCAATTACAGCCTGGTCAAAACAGTTTTTGTGTGTGTGTGTGTTGTTTTGTTTTTAGACAACCTGTTAATGGGCCCACAATTAGGTGTAAGGAATAACCCGGGCTGCAGGCACTGAAGCAAGGTCAGAGGTTAATTGAGACTTTCTATCCTAAAAATCTGAGTTTTTGCAACTTTTTGCTGAGAGAATAGTCTTAAACAAAAAGGAGATAATATGATACAATTAGTTGGAAAGCAGGAGGGTCAAAATTCCCAGATGAGAAAGGAAAACTGGCCAAGGAAATCAGGCCAGAGGGACCACCTGGGCCACTTCAGATGCCAAGAATATCTGTGGCCATTCATCTGGTGGATGAGGCACAAAGCGGTGTGCCCTCCATTCATCACATCCCTCCTGTCTACCAAAGAAAATACAAGGTCAATGCCATAAACAGGAGGCATCTCAGGGTAATTGAAATTCCAGAAACGGCCTCATTAGAATAGCTTACAGGCAATCATGTTTTTCTTTTCCTATTGAAGGTATATTCATGTCTTGAAATTGCATGGAAGGCCTTCTTTGTGGTGGCAGGGTTTGCAGAGGGACTTTCTGATAGTTTTTGAAGGATTGTGTCTAAATAAACGGCTTCCTTCATAGCTGAGAGGAAGAACCCAACAGAACCTCCTGGGCTTGCTGACTATGGCGTGGCACATGTAACGTCCACACCTGCTCCCTTGCTCTTAACTGTCAAAGGGCCCCTCTTTCTCCATTCCTTCTAGGTCATAATCAACGTATTGTGTCTTAAGCAGCTGTTCTTTATCTGGTATCCTGAAACTACTATTGGAGGTTTCTTGGCTTTAATCTTTCTTACAGTTTTTCTTTTTCTTTTAACCCTTTCCCTTATTCACACCCGCTAATGCAAACTTTGACACTTCCAGCTGGCAGATCCCTCTGATTGGAAGTGGACTAAAATTTGCTAAATCATTTTGTTTCTTTCCTTTTTTGTTCCAGTACAGCTGGTGCCAAAATGTGATGATTTGTTTTGCTCCAGTCACTGAAGTTTTTGTTTTCTTTTATTTCAACCCCATACTGGCTTCCCAGCTTGATGCTGAGTCATCTGGTGCAGGTGTTCTAAGTGGCTGGCATTTATGTCACTTGCAGATGGTTTGGGTAAATTACACGATGTTCCTGCAGCTCTGTGGAGGCTCTCTCAGGTCCCTTTGATCCTGGCCTTCCTGCGGGTCTTGCACATATGCAGAACTTCAGGGCACTAGGTGAACTTTTAGATGGATTCTACTCAAAGCTGGTTGGGTTGCTATGGGCCTCACAGTCTGATGGGCTTCAACTGTGGGTAAGAGAGGTTAACTAAAAGAAAGAACCCTGAAATCACAATGTACTGCAGCTTCACCTACATAGGGAATTACATACCCAATGTGCAGTAGAACGTAAGTTAATTCTACGGCTTCTTAAGTAAATTGGAACAAAGGGACCACATTTTGCTTCTGAAGAAGGAGAAAGGTATGTAGGAAAGTAAGAGCTGGAGTAGGGAAATTGTTAAGTATTAAACATATGTATTTAGTGTTTTCTCTTCATTACGTTTGTCTGACCCCAAACTGTCTCTAGCCCCTGTTCTAATGCTCAGTGCAAAGACTGGCTCATAGGCAAGAATCTCAAAATCTCATCTACTTATACTGTACACATACAGCTTCTATTAGAAACTTACAAATCCTTGCTACCTTCTATCTAAGAAGGCTGCTTTTATCATGAAACAATACACACCACTTGGGAACACTCAACATCTTCTCTTCCTGTAAAGATATACAACTTAGTGAGAGAAATTTCTGTCTGGTCATAGCCAAAGGCAAGACATATCAACTTCAATTTTCAGAATAAAGTTTTTGGGAAAGCTGTGTCTTCCTAGGACTGCAGAAGTCCTACCATTGTAGGTGATATGGTTTGACTGTGTCTCCACCCAAATATCATCTTGTATTTCCACATGTTGTGAGAGCGACCCAGTGAGAGGTAGTTGAATCATGAGGACTGGTCTTTCTCATGCTGTTCTCATGATAGTGAATAAGTCTCATGTGATTTGATGGTTTTTAAAAAGGGGAGTTTCCCTGCACAAGCTCTTCTCTTGTCTGCCACCATGTGAGACATGACTTTCACCTTCTGCCATGATTGTGAGGCCTCCCCAGCCATGTGGAACTCTAAGTCCAGTAAACCTCTTTCTTTCATAAATTGCCCTGTCTTGGGTATGTCTTTATTAGCAGCATGAAAATGGACTAATACAGTAAGTTTGCACCAGCAGAGTAGGGCACTACTGTAGATACCCAAAAATATAGAAGCGACTTTGGAACTGGGTAACAGGCAGAGGTGGGAAGAGTCTGGAGGGCTCAGTAGAAGACAGGAAAATGTGAGAAAGTTTGGAACTTTCTAGACACTTGTTTAATGGCTTTGCCCAAAAGGCTAATAGTTACATGGACAATGAAATCCAGGCTAAGATGGTCTCAGATGGAGATGAAGAACTTGTTGGGAACCAGAGCAAAGGTGACTCTTGCTATGTTTCAGCAAAGAGACTGGGGGCATTTTGCTCTGCCCTAGAGATTTGTGGAACATTGAACTTGAGAGAGATGATTTAGGGTATCTGATGGAAGAAATTTCTAAGCAGGAAACCATTCAAGATGTGACTTGGGTGCTGTTAAAGGCATTCAGTTTTAAAAGGGAAACAGATCATAAAAGTTAAAAAATTTGCACCCTGGCAATACAATGGAAAAGAAAATACCATTTTCTGGGGAGAAATTCAAGCAGGCTGCAGAAATTTGCATAAGTAACAAGGAGCCGAATGTTAATCACCAAGACAATGGGGAAAATGTCTCCAGGGCATGTCAGAGACATTTGCAGCAACCCCTCCCATCGCAGGCCTGGAGGAAAAAATGGTTTCATGGGCTGGGCCCAAGGTCCCTTTGCTGGGTGCAGTCTAGGGACTTGGTGCCCTATGTCGCAGCCGCTCCAGCCATGACTAAAAGAGGCCAAGGTACAGCTTGGCCTGTTGCTTCAGAGGGTGGAAGCCCCAAGCATTGGCAACTTCCATGTGGCATTGAGCCTGCAGGTGCACAGAAGTCAAGAATTGAGATTTGGGAACCTCCACCTAGATTTCAGAAGATGTATGGAAATGCCTGGATGCCCACACAGAAGTTTGCTGCAGGGGCGGGGCCTCCATGGAGAACCTCTGCTAGGGAAGTGCAGAAGAAAAACGTGGGTTTGGAACCCTCACGCAGAGTCCCTACTGGGGCACTGCCTAGTGGAGCTGTGAGAGGAGGGCCACTGTCCTCTAGACCTCAGAATGGTAGATCCAGTGAGAGCTTGCACTGTGCACCTGGAAAAGCCACAGACAGTCAATGCCAGCCAGTGAAAGCAGCCAGGAGGGAGACTGTACCCTGCAAAGCCACAGGGGCACAGCTCAAGACCATGGGAACCCACCTCTTACATCAGCATGACCTGGATGCGAGACATGGAGTCAATGGAGACCATTTTGGAGCTTTAACACTTGACTGCCCCACTGGATTTCAGACTTGCATGAGGCCTGTAGCCCCTTTGTTTTGGCCAATTTCTCCCTTTGGAATGGCTGTGTTTGCCCAATGCCTGTACCCCCATTGTATCTAGGAAGTAACCACTTCCTTTTGATTTTATAGGCTCATAGGCAGAAAGAACTTGCCTTGTCTCAAATGAGACTTTGGACTCTGGACTTTTGAGTTAATCCTGAAATTAGTTAAGATTTTGGGGGACTGTTGGAAAGACATGATTGGATTTGAAATGTGAGGACATGAGATTTGGGACAGTCCTGGGGCAGAATGATACGGTTTGGCTGTGTCCCCACCCAAATATCATCTTAAATTTACATGTGTTGTAGGAGGGACCCAGTGGGAGGTAATTGAATCATGGGGTGGCAGGGTCTTTCTCATGCTGTTCTTGTGATAGTGAATAAATCTCACAAGATCTGATGGTTTTAAAAAGGAGAGTTTCCCTGCACAGCTCTTCTCTTGTCTGCTGCCATGTGAGACATGACTTTCACCTTCTGCAAAGTTTGTGAGGTCTTTCTGGCCACATGGAACTGTAAGTCCAATAAACCTCTTTCTTTTGTAAATTGCCCAGTCTCAGGTAAGTCTTTATCAACAGCATGAAAATGGACTAATACAGTAAGCTACTGCATGGGTTTTCACAGAGTGATCAACCATCCAAGGAGTTTCTTAGGATTGACTCTGCTAAGATCAAAACAGTCCTGGCAAACTGTGGCCAACCTAATGTGTGTATTGAATTACCTGCAGAACTTGTGAAAAACATAGACACCTGAGTCCCACCCCTACAGGGTCTGGGGGAGCCCTGAGAATTTGTATTTTTAACAACCTTCAATGTGGTAGTGAAACTGCCAGAGCAGGGCTATTCGTGGAGTTGGAAGGAGCAGCTCTGTAGAACTTGTGAAGGGGAGCAGATGAAAGTGAAGAGCACAGATCTGGAGCAGTGCATATGATACAGAAAGGCATACTATTTTAAGTGACTCACCCCCAATGTATCAGGAACTTATTGCCACCATAAACAACAACCAGAAAAATCTCAGTGACATGAAACAGTGAACATATTCTCATGTTCACAGAACAGCAAGTAGAATATGGCTCAGCTGGTATGGGCTCAGCTGGGTGGTTGTATTTCAGTCTGTAAGTTGGCTGCAGGTCTCTCCCATATGTCTTAGTGTGGTCAACTGACACATGTTTTACTTCTGTTGAGAGTCATAAGTGGAAACATGTGACACTTCAGAAAGCTTAGACTCAGAACTGGCACAATATCGCTTTTCATTGGCTATCACCAGTCAAGCCCCAAAACAATGGAGTGAGCAGTGTGCTCTTCCAATGAAAGTAAGGAGAGAGTAAATATTTCCTAAGTAATAATCT
Source organism: Homo sapiens (assembly GCF_000001405.40). Taxonomy (NCBI): domain Eukaryota; kingdom Metazoa; phylum Chordata; class Mammalia; order Primates; family Hominidae; genus Homo; species Homo sapiens. Next base: position 7,366,601 of record NC_000020.11, read on the forward strand.
AATCTACTATAGTGATCTCAGAGTTTTAGAGTACTCAATCTAATTGGGTATATAATTGGATATATGTCAGTGACTGGTATACAATTGCTGTATGTCTAATAACCTACAACAAACTTTCAGATTCCTTTACCATCCAGGTAGGAATAAATACCAGGAAGCTGAAATATTTACTAATTGCTGAAGTACATATTTGTCTCAAGCCATTTTCCCACCTTGGTTGCCCAATAACTTGGAATATACAAAATTCAATGTTTTTCCAATTTATAAATGTTTGGTTAGGCATAAGAGTACTGTATTTTATTTTTATTTTAACTGATTTTTTTTTATTTTGCATTTTGTTTTCTTTATTCTTTTCTTTAAAGTCCTCAACCAGCTTTTTTTTAGTTAAATAAACCTGAAAATTTAGTGGATTTTCCCTGTGTAATTATTACAAATATTTCCTGTGACAGTGATATATCATGTAAGAGACTTATAGATAAAACACAAATAACTACTGAAACAAGTAAATTTTTAAAAAATCATTTTGAATCTATAACACAAATATACTACTTTCTAACAAAAGACTACACTAGACCATCTTGTTCTTTAAACATGTATGTTGTTCCTGATTCTTGGAAAAAAATATTTATTAGAATCTATCAATATACAAAACTTAAAAGGTATTTATTATCCTTGGCAGGGCCTTCAAGAGGATCAATATTTCCAGGATGTTGGTATTAGCATCCATTGTTCGCTGGCTAGATCTTTTCCAACAGAGCATGTGACTCTCATCATTACAGCAGAGGAATGCATTTATCAAAGTTAAGGAAGTCGTTTGCCATTCGGATGGCCCAAGAAGCATAAATATTTATCATTGAGCCTTGTGAGAACTCTCTATTATAAAAAGATTGGCTAATTTCTTAAAACTACTCCTTCAATAAGGACCCAGGTTATGTGCCATGGTATCTGTAGCTTTCTGGCTGGGTCAGGGTGACCCGCACACAACCCTGGCAGGACGCCCTTGGACACAGTATTTGCATCCCTTTGGTGTGCCAAGGTATCAAGCATTCACAGTTCACATTGAAACCACTAAACGAAGAGCTGTGCAAACAGGTCATCAGTTTCTCCAGAGGGGAATAATCTTACAACTGTTACGAAGGGTCAAAGGTAACTTTCATTTTGAGATGCTAATTACTCCAAGAATTTGATGCAGGAGGCAGCTGGTTAAAATGAATGAGTGCTGAAGCGTTGAAGGGGAAAATCAAATAGATGGTTATAATAAAAGTGCAATATGCAACCTAATAAGTATGCAGAGAATAAGGGACAATATTGTTAATAAACATCTATTAGTCAAGATGATCTTTGTAGAGCTGGGCTCTTTAATATTATAACTGCTAATCACATGCAATTAAATTTAAATTTAAGGTGGTTGAGATTAGAAATTCAGGTCCTCAGCCACAGAGGCCACATACAACATGTTCAATAGCCACATGTGGCCATTGGCTACCATATTGGAGAGCCCAGATATAGAACAGTTTCATTACTGCAGAAATTTCTATAGGACAGCAATGACCTGGAGTGTTTTGCTATTGGAGGGGTTTTGGACTTAGTGCTTTTATATAGGAAACATGATTTTTTTAAAGAAGCCATCCCATGGAATGCTTCTCTCATTCCAGTGCTGTAGTAAGGGTTGCCCTGAAATTTGGACCTAGAAAATTCACTTATCATAAACGAAAAAACTGTTACTACTATCAATAATATTTTTGTCCTGGTGAATATTTACATTGTACCACACACTGTGCTAGTTGCTTTATACATATTGTGTCATTTAATTCTTACCTTAGAGACTAAGATCTATCTGTGAATTACTTTGAGATAAATCAGGTTAAGAGAAAAATAAAAACTGACTTTAGACCACAATTAAGTAAATATATTTAAACCTAAAGCAATTATTGCTCTTTGAGAGAGAGAGAGAGAGAGTGTGTGTGTGTGTGTGTGTGTGTGTGTGTGTATGTGTATAACTGGCAGCCCATTGTTACTGAGATAACTACACAGAATTAAGCAATAAACTCTGCCAGAGCCTGGGATATAAGGACAGGAATAAAGACGATTATCAGAGACACGGGAAAGAAAGAGAAAGTGAGAGGTATTTGAAGATTCACTAAAGAGGCTGAGATTTAGTAGAAATAGTTGAGAAGCCTCAGAAATTTGGTTGTAAGATCCAGGCAAGCATGGAGAAAGGCTGCACTTTAGAGATTTGTGGGTTCCCAGGCTAACTCCAGAAAAGAGGATTAGGGCAGCAAGACTGATGCTGAAACCACCAAATGGTCATATTAACATCCGAGTTTCCTTCCAAGATCCAGTGCATAGATGAAAGGATTTAAGAACATGAGGTTGGATGTGGATTGCTCCTTTCAAAGACTTGGACAAAAGAAAAGTCACAGCCTCTTAATTTCTCTCAGTGAACCTCAGCCTAGCCATTAAATTTCAGAGGAAGCAGATGGCACACATTCAATGTTCTGGGATATGACTGTACACAGTCAGACTAAGAAAAGGTCACAAAGATGTAAAAAAAATAAGTGTTTTACATCAAGATGGTTGGTAATGAAAATACCCTATCCTACTCAGTTTATAGTAAATCGCTTCTATATAGAGTAATTTATTAAAATCTCAGAACATTAAGAATTACCAAGTCTTGATTTATTGCAGAAAATTTTGCCATGGTGTTTCCATTTAGAAACTTATTTCTTATCTTACACAAAGTAAAAAAACAATCTCTTTAGCACCTGGTATTATTAGTGAGGTATAACTGGGGTGACAATATAATTTATTATCCAAATAGAGACACTTTTGAGAATGAATGTAATTGTTTATAATTACAGCAAAACCACAGGTGTAAACTAGAACTGTCCAAGGCAAATCAGGGCAAACCAACAACCTAGGTATAGACCACAGCTGGATGCAATTGGACTCAAGCCATTTTCCCAGTCCAGCTGCTGAGTGTGACTCAAAGGCTACTCTGCTGTCAGCTGATTTACAAGCTGATTGAAATAATGATGCAAAGGCACAATGATGAAGATGTCCAACACCCATTTTAGGTAAAAATAACTAGTGTAAAGAAAAATACCATTGATCATTGTTGTTGAGTTTTTATTTTTAAAGAAACAGTGACTTGATAAAATACATCCAAGAAAAAAGAGTCTGATAACCAATCTCTACTCAGCATAGGAGGGCATTTCTCTTCAATTTTTAAAATAATAAATTAAAATAAATACTATCTTTAAGGTACTAAAGATAGCAAGGTTAGATATACTAGTTCAGCTAATCTACATTCCCACCAACAGTATAAAAGTGTTCCTGTTTCTCCACAGCCTTACCAACATCTGTTGTTTCTTAACTTTTTAATAATTGCCATTCTGACTGGCGTGAGATGATATGTCATTATAGTTTTGATTTGCATTTCTCTAATTATCAGTGATGTTGAGCTTTTTTTCATATGTTTATGGGCCACAGAAATGTCTTCTTTTGAGCAGTGTCTGTTCATGTTTTTTTGTCCACTTTTTAATCGGTTTTCTTGTAAATTTGTTTGAATTCCTGTAGATTCTGAATATTAGACTTTGTCAGATGAATAGATAGCAAAGATTTTCTCACATTTCCCCTTACTGGGTATAAACCCAAAGGAATATAAATCTTTCCATTATAAAGACACATGCACACATATGTTCATTGCAGCACTATTCACAATAGCAAACACATAAAATCAACCCAAATGCTCATCAGTGATAGACTGGATAAAGAAAATATGGTACATTTACTCCATGGAATACAATGCAGCCATAAAAAGGAATGAGATCCTGTGTTTTGCAAGGACATGGGCAGAGCTGAAGCCATTATCCTTAGCAAACTAATGCAGAAACAGAAAACCAAACACAGCATGTCCTCACTGATAAGTGGGAGATGAACAATGTGAGCACATAGACACAGGGAGGTGAACAACACACACTGGGGCCTTTTGGGGGTGTGGAGGGAGGGAGTGCATCAGAAGAAAAAGCTAATGAATGCTGGGCTTAATACCTAGGTGATGGGTTGATAGGTGCAGCAAATCACTATGGAACATGTTTACCTATGTAACAAACTTGCACATCCTTCACATGTACACCGGAACTTAAAAAAAAAGAAGATATACTAGTTAAGGTGTATCCTTAGGCATTAGAAGAACTTGGAGATTGAGGTGCACTACTGGTATTCAGTGAGTAGGACCTAGAGTTGTAGATGTTCTACAATGTGCGGAATAGTCTCACACAATGAAGAATGAACCTGGTCTTATGTGACATTCATGTGGGTGAAAAACATATTTATATATTAAGCCTAAAACTTAAATTCATTTTACATATAAATACAAAGTATCTCTTTTACACTGTATTAATAGCAACTACCAGACACATTGAGAAAATATATTCTTTATTTTGTTTGGCAATTTCTCAATAATTTTTTGCTATTTCAGAAAATCACATCACAGAAGGCAACCCTAGTCATTATTTTTAGTAGCTACACAACATATCTACATCTGTAACTGACATTTAAGGTGATCCTATGAATGAGTATAAGCATGACAACTTAATTATATCTTCCAATGTAGTTATGTCCAAACATTGACATGTTGAAATACTTATTTTATCATAAATTATTTTCCTCTTAATTTCATTTGCAATTTATTTTTACAATATAATTAGACCATTATATTGACTTAAAGATAAGTATGTGGGTAGTTTATATTATCTATGGATTTCATTTTAGAGTAGTAAAGGCTGTGTTATAAAATATCTTATATAATTAGTGGCCTGATAGGGCTGTGGAGCAGGGCTCCAAGGCAGTGCTATTTCAATGAGGTCTCAGAATTGGCAGCAGAGAGCTTGTTAAAAATGCAGATTCTTGGACTCCACCCCAGACCAACAGAATCACACTCTCTCATGCAGCATCCCAGTGATATGTGATTTATCAAGCCTTCCAGGTGATTCTTCTGCTGCTCTTATGCATGCAGTGATTTGAGGATTATTGCTCACGGTAAGAAAAACATGAGTAATATATTGTCTTCAAAGAACCTATGCTCTAACAGGAGATGTAAAGATATCTTTCTACTTGAGTTGGATGAGTAAGAAAATCACAGGGATCATGATCACCAAAAACACAATAGAAATTTGGCAATAACCTAATTCCAGAGACTATACACTAAACATGACATATCAATAGCAAAAAGCTGGATTCAGAGACAAGTTTAAACCACACAACTCTGATTAAAATGAACAGGACTCATGCTGTTAAGACTCTGTACAGTTCTAAAAACATACACAGCAGAGCACTTAAGCCGTTCCAGAACACATCATTCTCTACTTTTTAACAGGGAGCAAACAGCTGGGATGTGTTACTAGTAAGCCATGTTTTCATAGGCTTTCTGGTTTTCTTTAGCCAAACTCTTACAACAGTCTTCGGACAAATTATTGCCTGAAGCTATAGGAAGTCTTTAGTTGTCTTGGAGAACTGCAGAGTAAGTCAGGTCTCAAAGACAACATGCCCACAAGGACTTGCCTTGCCACCTTTGGCCTTTCCACCTTGGAAATGCCTTCACAACCAATTACACTATTCTCAAATGTCTGTTTATTTTTAATGACTCTAGTTAAATGTTAAGAGTTATTCCGATGACCTAGTTCAAGACTCTAAGAAAAAAAGCTTAGACAAATCAATAGACTAAACTGGGAGGCTTGCAAAGAAATGAACAAGAATCTAATCAATATCTTAACAAAAGACCAACAAATGGTTGAATTCTTGTAGGCCTGCATGGTTCTGAGGCCGACCTTGCTTTTCAAAAGACATTAAAGAGTTCAATATGGAAGCAGTGTTGTGAGAAATCACTTTCTCTTTCTAGATACTCTCATGTCCACTTTTGCTCTGGGAAATGTGTGTGTGTGTGTGTGTGCGTGTGTCTTGTTTTTCTAAATTGTCAGTACAGTGAAATAGTTGTCATGGGTTCACCAAAACAATTTTCAGAGATTTTCTTTCTGAATTTTGTTGGGAAAAGTCCTGAAACATTCCCTCCACTTCCACACACAAAAAGGCAGCCTCCCTAAGGTTCTTCCTTAGGTTCCCCCGGCACCTACATGGGTATCGGCAAACATTATTGAATCTCAACAAGCACATTTATTTCAGATTCTACACATGAAGGGTTTTCAAAATACTCTTCCGTACCCATGGTTCATAAGCCCATGGTCCAGAACATCTAGTGTCTATTTTTATAGCCCACAGGCAATTGCTACAGCTGTATAACCCTATTGAGAATGAGAAAGGGAGAATGTCACTAATTCTTTTGATATCTTAGGATGCAAATGTCTATGTGCTAATGTCATCTGCATAAAAGTATATACTCCCCACTTCACTTTGGCTGAAGGCAACTACACATTAATGGTTACATCCCCTTTTGTACTAAGAGCTACTCAAGGAAACATTTAGCAACAGGTGGTCCTAGCTGCACTTAAACCTTTCCCCTAGGGAACAACACACGCTTATACTGTACATTCCCAGGCCAGTAAACCCATGACAAAGTTATAACTCCCAGTAGTCAGCTCATTTAGGTTTATGCAATAGAATCCATCCTCTTTTTTGGGAATGGAAAATGTATTCCTTTCTGAAAAAGAGTACAGTATAATAGAAGGCATGGGAAAAAATCATTCAAAATTTACAGATTTGGGAGATAATAAAAATTCTACCAATGATCAACTTTGGAATTTACAGTAATAACTTAAGATTTCTGCTCATTAACAGTGTCAGCATGTATAAAAATTAAGAGGTTTAAGAATCTTAGAAGCCCTGTGAAAGGAATTTAGAAAGTGCAAAGATACATGCATTTGAATAAAAATTTGGCGCTTGTCAGACCATGTTTTTTTTATTGATTTTTACAGGGTAGATATGATCAAAATATTAAGAGTCATGGGATAAAATTTCTCTAAGGAAACTTTATCACCATAATAATCATTGAGAACTTCTATAAGTCAACATACTGTGTAAGGCTTTTGAAATACGTAAATAGATAATACGTAAACCCTGAACAGCATACTGTTTCATGGCTTTTTTTTTTTTTTTTTGAGACATGGTCTCAATCTGTTGCCCAGACTGGAGTGCAATGGTGCTTACTGCAACCTCTGCCTCCCAGGCTTAAGCAATTCTCCTGCCTCAGCCTCCTAAGTAGCTGGGATTACAGGCGCGCACCACTGCGCCCGGCTAATTTTTGTATTTTTAGTAGAGACGGGGTTTCACCATGTTGGCCAGGATGATCTTGAACTCCTGAACTCAAATGATCCACCCCCTTGGCCTACCAAAGTACTGGGACTATAGGAATGAACCACTGTGCCAGGCCACAGATGACTCTTATTTGCCGAATTCAGTACATCACTTAGGAGCACCTGTATCCTTTGAGAGTTTATTACAAATGCAGCATCTCAGGCCTCATCCAAGTCCTCTGCAACCAAAATGTGCATTTTGACAAGATCATGATTTATATATATGTTAAAGGTTGAGAAGTTCTGGTCTGTAACACTCAATATTTCCACTTCAACCTTCTAAACTAAAGAATTGTGTGACTTGACCTGTCTTCTAAAGAAGCCTTCACTTTAGTGTCATTACCTTTGTCTTCATAAAATATTCTGTTTTTTTAATAATCATTTAGAAAAATCCAATAAAACAAAACTACAGTCATTTGTTGCTAAATGAGGGGGATAATACCTCCTGAGGAATGTGCAGTTGGGTAATTTTTGCCCTTGTATGAACATCCTAAAGTGTACTTACACAAATCTAGATGTACTTCTAGGCTATATGGTATAGTCTCTTGCTCCTAAGCCATAAACGTGTATAGCATGTTTCTGTACTGAATACTGTAGGCAACTGTAACACAATGGTAAGTATTTGTGTATCTAAGCATATCTAAACATAGGTAATGTTCAGTAAAAATACTGTCTTATAATCTCATGGGATCATCATTGTATATGAAGTCCATCATTGACCTAAATGTTGTTATGAGGCACATGATTGTGAATTGCAAGCAAAAAAAATCTACCTTCTTATTTCTGTATCTAAACATTTGTGTGTTTAATTTGTTCAGTTACAGGATCACATTGATATCCCTAGCCTAGCATTATTGTTGTTCAGAGCAATTGCACAGTGTATTTTGAATGAGTCAATATTAAGAATAATATAACAGACTCCAGGTGTGGTGCCTCACACCTGCAACCCCAACAGTTTGGGAGGCTGGGACAGGAGAATTACTTGAGCCCAGGAGTTCAAGACCAGCTTGAGCAACATAGTGAGACCCTGTCTCTACAAAACAAAACAAAACATTAGCCGAGCACAGTGGCATGCACCTATATGTTCCTGCTACTTAGGAGACTGAGGCAGGAGGATTGCTTGAGCCCAGGAGTTCCAGGCCTCAATGAGCTATGATGGTGGTACTGCACTCCAGCTTGGGTGACAGAGTAAGACTCTGTCTCAAAAAAAAAAAAAAAAAAAAAAAAAAAAATTAAAATTACACACACTCCCCCCACCAAAAAAAAGTTATCTGAAATCTTTGGTTAAAAAGCAAGAAAGTGACTTCTACTTCTGGCCAAGGAAGAACAACTGAAAAACACAAAACATATGAAACAAATTTTGCCAGACACTGGACATGAGGCAAGAAGGGCGAGTGATTGCTGAGCGATGGAAGTCAAATGAGATGAGTGTTTCATTTACCCCAGATGGCTGCCTTGGGTACCTAGGAAAATCTCAAGAAATTCCTTATTGATAATAGATTTGAGAGTCTGCAGAGAACAACGTAGCTGAAGTTGGCAGGGCAGAGTACCAGAGAGGAGAGAAATGTAGAGAGCGAGGACTCTGGAGGTCTGCGGAGGGTTCCCTTGTGTATTTGATTTGTTTGTGTATATGAGGAAACTACCTGAGACTGAGGAAAGAACCACCTGAAAAAATTGCCACTGTCCTGTCTAACTGGATTCACAAGAGATTGGAAATAGTGCCCATTCCCATCAGCTAGGTTAGTTACAAAACCTCAAGATTCAAGGGGCGCTGTGTAGAGTGCACAGAAAGATCTTGCCTTAGTAATGGGAAACAATCAGATCCAGACTGAGTGTGCTCATGCCACCTAACACATTTCAAAAACAAGACTCAGGAAGATAAAACTATTACTATTGAATAAGTAATTCAGCTGTATTCCTAAACAAAATTCAAGCATATTAATATAAATAAAAGAATATTCAGCACCCAGGAAGCAAAACTTTACAATATCTGGTATTAAACCAACAATTTACAGGCATGCAAAGAACAGAAAGATACAATTCATTATGATGGAGTCAATCAATCCTTCCCAATGAATCCTAAACTCCCTCGGATGTTAGAATTAGCAGACAAGGACACCATTAAATTTTGAATTAATTAATATCGTTTTTTTAAAAAAAAAAAAAAAAAATAGGAAGTATCATTCTTTTAGGAGAAACATCACCATCTGGTGGTATTTTCAGGTATTGCCAGTAAAGATATTTAAAACAGGAAGGGTGGTTTTTCTTGGTGTTTACAAATATGTGTATAAATAATTACAACTATATCTATGAATAAACAGCTGAGCAATTGTATAAACCATACAACTTTTATTCAAACACTTGTATAACGTTTACGTATATGTTATTTTATATATACACATACAAATATATTTATATATAAGTATTCATAATTATGCAAATTGAAGATGCAACAATAAATAGACTTTCTGAAATAGTTGTTCTGATAATTAAATATCCAGTTACCATTGTTGCGTTGCCTTAATGACTTTTTCTGTCCCTCTATCTTTGCCCTAGGGTCTTTCCACAAGCTTTCTCTTGTTCTAGGATAATCTTCCTTCCACCTTTCACTTGGTCACTTCTTCCACGTCCTTCAGATTTTACTTTACCTGTCACCTCCTCAACAAGCTTTCTCTGATAATTTAGAGGCAATTAAGCCTCTATCACAAATACTCTCAGGTAATTCACTAAATCCCTTGAAATAGTATCCACATTTGTGGTTATGAATTTACTTGTGCACTTATGTGGAGAAGGTCTTCCTTTCCCACTAGGTACAGTGTTCCATGAGGTCACTTTTCCTCATTATGCACCTTTCAGAATCTAACACAAAGTTGGCACACTGTGTGCAGTTGTTGGATGATGTTTCCCCACCCAGATTTTCATCTCTATTATTGAAATGTGATTAGGATTTAGGCTTCACAGGTAAACCAAATGCAGCATTGAATTTCAATCTCAAATTCCAGGACATGTGGAGGTACGAAATCACTGCTCAAATCAGCTTGTTTAAATTCCAGAATAAAAAGCCCTAAATGCTTCTCAACTTATACAGTTTTTTTCTGCAAATCCCAACTAAGGAACTGAACTTCACTTAATTCAAAATAAAAAATAATTCTGAAATCTGTATTAGGTTTTTCCAGAGAAATAGAACTGATAAGATGTGTGTTTGTGTCTGTGTACACAATTTCTTATAATTAATCTCTCTATGCATGTAGGTCAAACATTCTGGACATGTCTATGAAGGTGCTACTGAATGAAATTAACATTTGAATGGGTAGACTGAATCTCTTGATGCATATATATGTGTGTGTGTCTATGTACAGACACACACTCATTATATATTTATAGATAAATAGATAGATAGATATTCATTATAAGAAATTGACTTATTTGATTACGGAGGCTGACAATCTGCAGTTGGCAAACTGGGAACCAAAGAGAGCTTATGGTATATTTCCAGTCCAAAATGCTGGTGGGCTCAAGACCCAGAAAGAAAATATGTCTCAATATGAGTCTGAAAGCAGGAAAAAAATCTAATGTCCCAGCACTAAAACAGAAATTCCCTCTTATTTGCAAGAGGATTAACTTTTTTGTTCCATTAGGGCCCCTTCGACTAACTGGAAGAGTTCCACCCACATTAGAGATGTCAATCTGCTTTACTCAGTCTACCTATTCAAATGTTAATCTCATTCAGGGGCATCCTTACATAAGGGCCCAGAATGTTTGACCTAATGTCTAGCCACTCGATAGCCCAGCAAAGCTAATACATAAACTTTACTATCACAATTCTACCCCTTCTCATCTTGGCACATATACGCCTCTCCTTAAACCATACTGATATGGTTTGGCTGTGTTTCCACCCCAAATCTCATCTTGAATTGTACTCTCCATGTGTCAAGGGCAGGACCAGGTGGAGGTAATTGGATCATGGGGGTGGTTTCTTCCAGGCTGTTCTCTTGCTAATGAGTGAGTCTCATCATGTGAGATCTGCTGATTTTTTTGTTTTCAGGGGTTTTTTTGTTTGTTTTTGTTTTTGAGACCGGGTCTCACTCTGTCACCCAGACTGGAGTGCAGTGGTGCCATCTTGGCTCACTGCAACCTCTGCCTCCTGGGTTCAAGTGATTCTCATGCCTCAGCCTCCTGAGCAGCTGAGATTACAGGTGCCTGCCACAACACCTGACTAATTTTTGTATTTTTAGTAGAGATGGGGTTTCACCATGTTGGACAGACTGGGATCTGCTGGTTTTATAAGTGTCTGGCATTTCCCCTGCTTGCACTCACTCCATCCTGCCACCCTGTGAAGAAGGTGTCTGCTTCTCCTTTGCTTTCTGGCAAGACTGTAAATTTCCTGAGGCCTCCCCAGCAATGCAGAACTGTGAGTCAATTAAACCTCTTTCTTTATAAATTACGCAGTCCTGGGTATTTCTTCTTAGCAGCCTGAGAATGGACTAGTACACATACTTAATCTCCAAATAAAGAACATAGCACGGCCATAATTTCATAAAACATGATAGAGCTATTCTGCACATAACTAAAACCACACTAATCTCTTCCCCTAAAGAGCAGGTAAAGTGTTGAGTGATTTTTACTCTTCTCTTTGACATCTTATAACTTAAATAATATAACATAAAATTAACAACACAAATATATGAAGTCAATACATCTTATGTTACATAATAAGGGAATAAGTGAGGGAGGTTAAATTATATTGTTTTCTTATACACACAAACATATCCGTAACAAAATATGGAGGAAATAGTCCTGACATTTACAGTCCTCATTTTGATAATGGTCACATAGTTCGCTATAGCTGGTATTTATAACTATCTTCCCCTACTATCCATTCTGTATTCTCTTTGCCTTCAGCAAGCACTTCAGCTGTGGTGATTCTTTACCTGATGGTATAAAACCTTCATTCCTGAAAAGTCCTGATATCAGTGTCCTCCTTTGATTGGGTGTTATAATTTTCTTTTGACCCTAATCACAGGACATGGTAAAACTAAGAGATGCCTTCAGGGATTTGCTGCATGCCTAACATATTCCTCCTTACTGCCATTGTGGAGAAGTAGTTCAATTTCCCCCTGGGTAGTCAGGACCAATCACCCCACCCACCACAGTAATTCAGTAATTTCCCTCTTTCTGATGATTCAGATGCAGGAGGAGCCCAAAGTGACCATGTAGCATTAACTTCCAGTTAAATGAAATCATTGCTGTTTCTCCTGGTAGCAATGTTCCCCACTGCAGAACTAAAATCTATAGGTCAGGGGAACATAAGGCCATGAAAACAAGAAGAAAAACTTTCTAGTAGCTCACTAGAGGATATTAGTGAGCGATACCTGGCCCATTTCCACCACTTGATTCCTGGACTCATGAATCCTGGCTATGGGAGAAGTAGTACCGCATACTGGAGGCTGATTCAGACAACACACAGCCTGCTGGGGAATCTTTCTCCAGTCTCACAAGGTATTGCCACCTAGCTGGCACTGTAACTGCGTATTCAAGAGGTCATTACATGGTTCTATGCGTCCAGATGCTTCAGGATGATGAGGAACAGTGAATTCCATGAGCATGGGTAATTGTCACACTTCGTTTATTGGGTAGTGAGTTCCTTAATCAGAAACAATGCTTTATGGAATATCATGGTGGTGGCCAATGAATTCTGTAAGCCCACCGATGAGTTTTTACAGAAGCATTGCACGCATAGAAAGCAAATCTGTATCCAAAATAAGTGTCTATTCCAGAAAGAAAGTACTGGAAATAGTGCCCTTTCTGTGATGGAAAGAGTCCAATGTAATCATCATGTCACCAGGTAGCTGGCTGATCAACAAAGGGAATGGTGCCATATTGGGGGCTCATTGTTGGTCTCTGTTGCTGACAGATTGGACACTCAGCAGTGGTCATAGCCAGGTTGGCCTCGGTGAGTTGAAGCGCATGTCGTTGAACCCATGCATAACCTCCATTCCTACTACCATGGCTACTTTGTTTATGAGCTCATTAGGCAATGACAGGAGTGGACGGGGAAAGAGGCTGACACATATGCAGAGAATAAGTCATCTTATTCACTTGATCGTTAAAATTCTACTCTGCTGAGGTAATCCATTGGTGAGCATCCATATAGGACACAAATATCTCCACATTATGTGATTACTCAGAGATATCTATTCACATACCTTTTCCTCAAATTTCTAGTTATGTTTCTCCCAAGTCTGTGACCATCCAGGGAAACCACTGGCCACGTCCCATGAATTGACGTACAGTCATACATAAGGCCATTTCTCCTTCCAAACAACGTGAACAACCAGGTAGATTGCTCACATTTCTGCCCCTTGGGGGGATATTTTTTTTCTCCTCTATTCTTCAGGAATGCCTTTGAAGTTGACTGCAGTGTTCTAATTGTCCATTTGGATGCTGCATTCATATTGTGCAGAAACATCTGAGAATGAATCCCAATTGCTATGTTTTGAATGTTTGTGCCCCCTCTGAAATTCATGTTGAAACTTAATCCCTAATGCAACAGTATTCAAAAGCGGGGTCTTTAGGAGATGATCCGTCTATGCAAACTCTGCCCTCATGAAGAGATTCATGCCCTTATAAAAGAACTAGAAGAAACCAGCTAGGCCTTTTCTGTCCTTCCACCATGTGAGACACAGGAACGAGGAGCCATCTCGGAAGCAGAGACTGAGCCCTCACCAGACACTGAAGCTGCTGGTGCCTTGATCTCAATCTTCAGGCTTCCAGAACTGTGAGAAACAAATTTCTATTTTTTATAAATTGCCCAGTCTCAGGTACTTTTTAACAGCAGCATGGATGGATTTAGACATCAAATCTTCTCTTCCCCTGTCAACTGATCCTTTGGAAGCTTCTCATGAGGCCATAGGTACAAGCTGGGAAAGAGACAGTAATATAGCAGCACTGAGGACCATGGACATTTTCTCTACTTCTTTGTGTAACTTAACTTGAGCCTTCAGGGCCTGTGTGGGTCCAATTAGGTATACACCACTTTCATTAGATTATGGAGCTCTGCTGTACACATCCAAATTTATGGAATAGTGAGTCAAATACTAGCTGGTTCTTGATGGGAAGCTCAGGTCACCTGGTAACTTACTAGCCCATGTTAAGCACCCAGCCTCTACAAAGGCCAAGTAGCAGGCCAAGAACTGCTACACACACACACACACACACACACACACACACACAAAGAGTAGCTAACTACAGAGGACAGCATGGCAGGATATTGCTCCAAAATCTAAAGGGCCCGCTCTGTGATTCACCTTTAGGGTTCCTGACAAAGGCTCCAAATAATGTCTCTATCTGCTGCTATCACTTCAAGCACGTTTTGATCTGTTGGAGCATATGCCCTACATGACAGAGCAGCTTGCACAGCAGCCTGAACTTGTTGTGGAATCATCTTTTATTTTGAGCCCCACTCAAAATTAATCGCTTTTGTATCACTAGGTAAATGGGCTGGAGCAAGACACCAAGTGAGAAATGTGTTGCCTCCAAAATCCAGTAAGGTCCACTTTTCTTGTGGTGCCTCTTCTTTAGTTGTAGTCAGGACAAGATGAAACAAATTATCCCTCACTTTAGAAGAAATTCCTCAATATGACCCATACCACTGGGCCCCTAGGTAATGAAAGTGGGTAAAACCACCCTCTGACACACAAATGTCTTACCAATATGTCTAGAATAGACTTAGAGTTGCTACTTCTTGTTCACTAAGTTCAATCAGCATTATGTTACCAATGTCAAGGACCAGGATGATACCTTGTGCAAGGGAAATTCAGTTGAGATCACTGCAAACTAAATTATGCCATAGGGCTGAAGAGTTGATATGCCTCTGAGATAGGACAGTGAAGAAGTATTGATGGCCATGCCAACTGAAAGAAAACTGCTTCTTACGGTCCTTTTGAAAAGAATGGACTAAAAAGCACTTGCCAGATCAATAGCTACATATCAAATATCAGGAAAAGTGTTAATTTGCTCAAGCAATGAAATAACATTTGGTATAGCAACTGCTAATGGAGTCACTACCTTGTTAAGCTTGCCATAATCCACTGTCATTTTCCAAGGTTCATCTATCTCCTGCACAGGCCAAATAGTCATGCTTAGGAATGGGAATGTTGTGGGAATTGCCACCCCTGCATTTTTCTAGTTCCTTGTGGTGGCGCTAATCTTTTAATACTTTAATTGCTTCTGATTTGTTACTTTCCTAGATAGAGATTTTTCTAGTGTCTTCCACTTGGCCACTCCTACCATAGTAGCCTTCACACCACAGGTAAGGGAACAAATGTTGGGATTCTGTCATTTGCTAACTATGCCTATTCCACTTATGCCTTCCAGAACCAGGGAAATAACCATAGGCTGGGGTCAGGGACATACTTGTCCCTCTATGGGAAGAATCTGAGCTGAAACCTTTTTAGTTACCTGACTTCCATAAGCCCCTACTCTGACTGGTGGACAACAGTGATGTCTTAGATCTCCTGAAAATAGGATTTGTCCAGAACAACTACCTAGTAGTGCAAAAAGGGTATAATTATATCCGTTTTCTTAATGCACAGTTATCCTGGTAAAAGGTCATAGATCACTTTGGTGAAGGCTAGGAGAAAAAAAATAGCAACACAAATTTTTTACAGTGTACCAGAGTCTAATATGGGTTAGATATTTGTCTCCTCCAAACCTCATGTTAAATTTTGATCCCCAGTGTTGGAGGTGGAGCATAATGAGAGGTGTTTGTGTCATGAGGGTGAATCCTTCATAAATGGCTTCATGTTCTCCTTGTGATAATAAAGGAGTTCTTGCTCTGTTACTTCACTCAAGAGCTGGTTGTTGAAAAGAGGCTGGCCTTCCTCCCTTCACTCTTGCTCCTTCTTTTGCCATGTGACATGCCTGCATTCCCCTTGTCTTGCACCAGAATTGAAAACTTCCTGAGGTCCTTACCAGAAACAAATGCTGTTACCATGCTTCTTGTACAGCCTGCAAAACTGTGAGCCAAATAAACCACTTTTCCTTATAAATCACTTAGCCTCAAGTATTGCTTGATAGCAACACAAAACAGACCAAAACAGTGTCCTTTCTCAAGGGGACTTGATCTTCTATTCATACAATGGGTCTTGGAAGTGTAAACATGTTTAGTCTGGGAATGGATTGAGCAGCCGTGACCCTCTGTTTTATCATTTTGGTTAGATTTTTATTCGCTGAAC
Source organism: Homo sapiens (assembly GCF_000001405.40). Classification (NCBI taxonomy): domain Eukaryota; kingdom Metazoa; phylum Chordata; class Mammalia; order Primates; family Hominidae; genus Homo; species Homo sapiens. Next base: position 7,383,147 of record NC_000020.11, read on the forward strand.
TAGAATTGTTTTGCTAGAACAAAAATTAAGAACTTATTATTTTTCCTGTCTGTTTCACTTCTAGAAATGCCACAATCAACTAGGCAGTATTAATAAATTCATCTTGCTCCAACACCATAGGTCTGAGAAAGTCAGGTTATTCTGATTGCTGCTTTGATTCTGCTGTCTATTACAACAACCACTCCCATCTTACTTTTAGTGGTTGAATGCCACCAATGGTCCCTTGCCAATATGCCAGGATCAAATTACTCCAGCTGAATTATGTTTTCCAGTTCAGTGACCAAAGTTCCTACTGTCCACAGCTCTCACTGTAAGGTCTGGCAGACAGAGGAGTTACAGAGACCTCTTCAAGGAAGAAAGGACTCCACTCACAAATTTATTTCTCACAGCCATGGCAAAAGGTATGTCTTCTGAGTCTTCCCAGACTGGGCAAATAGACTTTTTTTATTTTTTATTTTTTTACTTTTATTTTAAGTTTGGGGGTGCAAGTGCAGGTTTGTGACCTAAGTAAACTTGAGTCATGGGGTTAGTTGTACAGATTATCTCATCACTCAGGTATTAAAGCTACAACCCATTAGTGATTTTTCCTGATTCTCTCCCTCCTTCCACCCTCCACCTTTTGAAAGACCCCAGTATGTGTTGTTCCCCTCTGTGTGTCCATGTGTTCTCATCACTTAGCTCTCACTTATAAGTGAGAACATGCGGTATATGGTTTTCTGTTCCTGTGTTAGTTTTCTAGGAATAACAGCCTCCAACTCCATGTCCCTACAAAGGACATAATCTCATTCTTTTTTATGGCTGCAGAGTATTCCATGGTATATATGTACCACATTTTCTTTATTTAGCCTATCTTTGATGGGCATTTAGGGTGCTTCCATGTCTTTACTATTGTAAATAGTGCTGCAGTGAACATACATGTGCATGTGTCTTTACATTAAACTGAAAGCGACAAACCCACTTTAATATTCCAATCTCTCTAAGCCTGTGAATCCCTTACTATACGTTAAACCAAAGCAAGTATGGTATTTCTAACTTGTTCACTGTAGGTCACCTTTTGGTTCAGTTTTCAACCAACTAACCAATCAAACAAACTGTTAGAGTCCTTTCAAATTCACCCCAATCTGAAACAGTGAATGCAGATTGTCTGCTTACTGACTTCAGAGCAATAAATTCCATAAATAAAGTCCATATCAAATTCATCCTGCTACAACTTTATGTGTCTTCTATCACTATCCCACACCTTTAATATCTTTTCCACATATGTTTCTTGAATTTTTGTCAACATAAATTAGGAAACTCAAGTAATTCTTTTGGAGTATGGCACATCTCCACTTGGGTCACACTTTGTTTCTCACCTTTAAGGACCTGATCAGACATGAGTCTAATTATAGATCTAGAAGGAGAAGGGTAGTGGGATGGGACTTGAGGAAAATCAGCATTGTCTTGAATGGCAACTGCCTCTGGAGGGGCCGCTACCATTTCTCTGGAAATCAGATTAATCCTCACAGATAGAAGTGGAGATACCACTCTAACTAGGGATGAAACTCATTAGAATGTAGTGCTCCTACTTGTATTCAACATAGTTCTGGAAGTCCTAGCCAGACAAATCAGTCAAGAGAAATAAAAGCCATGTACTTTGAAAAAAAGGAAATCAAACTGTGCCTCTTTGCAGATGATGTGATCTTATACCTAGGAAAACCTAAAGACTCCATCAATAAATTCTTAGATATAATAAATAAATTTAGTAAAGAATAGAATAAAAAATCAACATGCAAAAATCAGTAGCATTTCTATCACCAAATAATGGACTAGCTGAGAAAGAAGTCAAGAAGGCAACCTCAATTACAATAGCTATAAAAATAATACAATATCTAGAAATAAATTTTACTAAGGAGGTGAAAGACCTCTATAAGAAAAACTACAAAACACTGATGAAATAAATTGGAGAAAACACAGAACTTGGAAAGGCATGCCATGCTCATGAATTGGAAGAAATAATATTGTTAAAATGACCATACTGCCCAAATAATCATCAGATTCAATGCAATTCTTATCAAAGTACCAATATCATTTTGAACATAAATAGAAAAGATAATCCAAAAATTCACATGGAACTAAAAAAAGCCCAAATAGCCAAAGGAAAAAAATCAGTATATCAAAAGGATATCTGTACCTCCATGTTTATAGTAGCACTATTCACAATAGCAAAGATATAAAATTAACTGCAGTATCTGTTAATGCATAGGCAAAGAAAAGTGGTATATATACACAATTGAATACTATTCAGCCATATAAAAAAGAATGAAATCGTGTAATTCTTAACAACAGGAATGGAACTGAGAGATCATTGTGTTAAATATCATAAGCCAGACACAGAAAGATACATTTTCCATATTCTCTCTCACTCATATGTGGAAGATGAAAAAAGTTGATCTCATGGAGGTAGAGAGTAGAATAACAGATACCAGAGACTGAGAAGGGTGTATGAGTGGGAGTCGGGGATAAGGAGAGGTTGATTAGTAGGTACAAACATACAGTTAGATAGAAGGAATAAGTTCTAATGTTCGGTTGCAGAATAGGGTGACTACAGTTAACAACCATGTATCGTATTTTTCAAAATAACTTGAAAAGAGAACTTGAAATGTTCCCAATACCTAAAAATGATAAATATTGAAGGTGACAGCTGCCCCAAATAACCTGACTTGATCATTCTACAGTCTATGCATGTGATACAATATCACATGCACCCCACAAATATGTACAAATATTATGTATCAATAAAAATAATTTTAAAAATAAATTTTAAAAAGAATTAGGTGTTCAACATCTCCAGCTCCAACAGGGTCTTATGATTTCCATTCATCTTTGTAATCTCATTCTTTTCCAATCAGTGTCCTCACTTTAACATTCCACACTCTGCAAGGCTGTGAGTTTAACTAATTTTGTTATTCATTCAGTCATAGAATGAGATTCTGGGTTGGTTTCAGTAGTCTCAGCCCTGCAGGTACAGGAAATGAGGACCTCCTTCAGGGCATAAATAGAAATTTACAGGTAATTCATGCAGAACTTGAGTTGAGAATTTGAATCCTTGTCTCATTTTGTTTTCCTACTTTGTCCTGCAACATTAGAAGCAAACAGCAAATCTCATTATATTCATTAGTTTGACAAAAATGTTCAAAAGTATCACATACATAATACCCCGGGTCCCTGTTTCTTATAAGTGGTTGATTAGGAGTATTCAATGGTGATAATTTTGCATATCTTTTTTCAAATCATGTCATATTCTATCAGTGCTGTCTTTACTATTGGAAACAGAGTCATCAGCATCTTTAAATCTAATCAGATTAAAGAGGAAATTCTAAAAACTAGAGACCCAATTTAGAAGACTCATCTTTAAAATTATGTTCCTTTAGAACCTCTCTTGGTACCAAAATCTGCATTCGGGTTTTTAGGTCTTTCAGAGAAATAGAAGCAGTTGGCAAGCTGGAGAAACAGTACAGGCAATGGTACAGTTACATTCCAAATGTTAGTATACTCAAGACCTAGAAAGATCCAACGTTTCAGTTCGATTCTGAAAGCAGGAAGAAAAATAATCAATGTTATAGATTGAAGACAGTCAAACAGGAAGAGTTCTCACTTATTCACAGGAAGGTCAGCCTTTTTGTGATATTCAGGCCTTCAACAGACTGGATGAGCACTCCCTGCCTCCCGCCGCCCCACCCCACATTAGGGAGGGCTATCTTCTTTAACTCTATCTGCCAACTCATGTGTTAAACTTATTCAGAAATGCCCTCGCAGACATACACAGAATAATATTTGATCAAATATCTGAATACCTCATGGCTCTGTCAAGTTAATACACAAAATAAAACATCACAACATCTTATATGTACTATGCATTGTACTAAGCATTAGGCACACTGATGTGGATAGAACACAGTTCCTTGTGTTCCAAAAGGTCACACTCACTGGGCAGAAACAGATATATGTATGATTCAGTATCATGAAAGTCACAAAGTTCTCCTTGAGAATACATTCTCTTTGGAGGGCTAGTGGTATGCTTCACAGAACATGCAGCATTTGAAAATGAACAATAAGGGACTTGATTGAAAATGATATTAATACCATGTGTCTTATCTTGGCTTCTCCAAGAGCAGACCCTTAGATAAGCATTCAAGTGCAAGACGTTAATTTAGAAAGTTCCAGAAACACCAATGGTAGAGTAAGGAAGTGAGACGAGGAAGATGAGGAAGCCACTGTAGAGTGAATTACTAAACTACTCTGGGCAATTGAAGCTTAATCACTGAGGGAATACAGAAAAAAGTGTTGACTATACTCCTCAAGTTTGTTGTTTCTCAGGAGTAAAGAAGTGTATTTTGTATATCAACACTCAGTCATTCATTGAGAGCTACTTCTATAGTAAGTGTTAATCTCTTGGTATTCCTGCCTTTCCATGTGCAAAGCAGAGGGGACTCTGGTGGCTAGACAAAGCTCCCAGGCAAAGAGATGCAAGGATTAATATTTGTTACTCAGATTTGCAAACTGTGAAATGGCAAAGCCTGGGGAATCGGGAAGAATTCCCAACAGCATTCCTTACAACAAAGCTGGGTATTAGGATTTTGTTCAGTAGATATTGGAGTTCCATTAAAGGTTGTTGAATGTAGGTTAAACAGAAAGTAAAAGATAGCGAAGGAAAAAATTGGCACCAGTAGCTCAGAGACAACCTGATATTTCATTTCTCTCACCTTTCACCTATGGCCATTCATTTCACTTTTTTTTTTTTCTATCTCATGAGCTTTTTTTTTTTTTTTTTTTTTTTTACCAACACTATTTGGACACTGAAACCATGATCTCACCTAGATATTTACTTTTGTTTCACAGTTGTCATTGAAAGTCCCTGTACCTAGCTGTTAGCCATTGTCCTAACATGTTTAACTGTGAACTTCAGCAAGGCCCACATTTTAAATTTCAAGTCTTGTCTGGAACCATATTAGGACCTTTATAATTTGAGTTCATACTTCCTTTCTTTTGCCACACTAGCCACACGAAATAACCTTACATAACCCCTCCATTCCAGCCACACTAATCTTCTCTTCATTTTTCTTACTGTATATCCATTCATGCCATAGTGACTTTGTACATATTCTTCTCTTTGCCTGAAAATTAGGTCTCTGGTTTTTCAAATAGTTATGTCTTCAAGTACTCATAACACACACACACACACACACACACACACACAGAGATGTATGTGTGTGCATGTATATATTGATTATATAAAATACATATGTACATATATAATATATATTGCGTGTGTGTATATATATAATATATATTATAAATATATATGCATATTATGTGGTACATGCAAAAAATACTTGCTTAATGAAGAGCACAGGAGAAAATAACAGCTTTCAAAAGAGAGATAATGAGTCCAGGATTACCCCTCTTGATCTTGAAGGGAGTGTGTACATAAAGGGAGTATCCACAAAGAGGTGGACAGCAAGCTTTGGTAAGTGGTGTTTGGTACCAGGAGGGGAGTGGAGAGTTGTAGCAGCATGCCTTTATTTGAATCTGATTCTGAAAAAGAACACATGATTTAAATACAAGCACATTAGTCTTCTTTCCTTCTGCCCCCCACACCTTTTTCTTCTAGAAAACATACAGGATTACTCGCAAGACAAATAAAACCACATACGGGCTGGGTGCCGTGGCTCACACCTGTAATCCCAGCACTTTGGCAGGCCAAGGCGGGTGGATTGCTTTAGTCCAGAAGTTAGAGAACAGCCTGAGCAACATAGTGAAACCCTGTCTCTACAAAAAAAATACAAAAACTAGCTGGGCGTGCTGGCATGCCCCTGTAGTCCCAGCTACTCAGGGGGCTGAGGTGGGAGAATTGCTTGAGCCCAGGAGGCAGAGGTTGCAGTTAGTCCACTGCACTCCAGCCTGGGTGACAGGGTGAGACCCTGTCACAAACAAACAAACAAAACAAAACAACAACAACAAAAAACACACAAAAACTCACGTATGGCAGGACATCTTCAAAGTGTAGTAATTAGAAAGCAAGTACGAGATCTTAAAATTCAAACTATAGAAAGACTCTTTACTTGCCCCTCTGGATTCTTCCATATTCAAGCAGGACCAGTTTGAAAAAGCAATAAAGATTCTACCTTCCTTTTTTTCCCCCTTCATTTCCATTGACATTCCACATGGATCTTGCTCTTAAATCCCTGCTTACTCATAAGTCATAGGTCAAATTTTTGGGGGGTAACCTAAGTGTATGCATTTCTGTAATTATGGAAGATTCACATGGAATGGTTTCCCTATAAATCAGAGTAACCATGTCAGGCAATCTTGAAGAAAAGTGCTATTGTATGATTAATAAATTGCTTATGCACATGTCTACTATCTTATGAACCAGAATGAGATTCAACATTTCTTAAAAGGAAGCTTTTTGAATTTTATGTCTTGTCTCACAGAAGTAGCCTTTCTTTCTTCAGCAACACAGCCACCACCGAGCTTCACAATGAGCAAACCACACACCAATTTTCTTATGTTCTTATAAGTCATGCCAGAAACAGAATCCATATCCAGTCATTTAGTACAGTTGTTAGTTTTATCTATCTGATTTGGATGTATCCACATTTCAAGTTAAAGAAACTGCCTTCTAGGTCAAAATGTGCTGGCATGTAAATGTGCTGAACCAAACATATGATTTTCAGAGACAAATATAAATAACAGTACATGTATTTTTGTTGCTCTTATGGCCAGCGAAGAACTCTGGTCTTAGAAAACTACCTAGATCACAGATTCCAGCATGAAAAGACATCTGGAAACTGATGGGACACACTCTGAAGAGGAACAATAAATTATTTAGCCTAACCAACAGCAACGTCCCCAGAAGCAAAACTATACAGAAATAGACTTCTCCACTGGAAGGACATATGGAAATCAGGAATCAAGGCAGGAGGTGCCTCTGATGAAAAGGATGTGGGAGTCTTCGGCTCACTGATAACTGTGAGAAGATGTCATAAAGATGGTTTTATAGGAAAAAGAACCATTCTCTGTTTCCGCCACAGCCATGAGGGCCGGTCATTTGGCTTGAATTTCAAAGGCTACACACAATTCTTTAGAAATGCAGGGAGAAACTTTGCTAAATAAGGGTCAAGTATGCTCAGTCAGAATGCATGTGTAGTATCAGGAGCAAATGTTGGAAGCTACTTTATCCTATCACATAAGAATGATGAAACTATTAAGAATATCTCTGTTTGAATGCAGTTATAGTCTCTTAATGTAAGAATTTTCACACGGCATATGTTACTCAATGGTTTATCAGTTTCAACACTTTTCCAGCAAGGATGAACTTTTTCTTCTATTTTATTATAAGGGAAGCAAACTTTTAAAAAATATTTAGTTTTTTGCACAATTTTCATCCCCAAGGAACAAAAATCTAAAAAAAACAATCCTAAACAAAAATCTTTCAGTGATTTTTGCTTAGGACTACAATATTGATTACTGAGTAACTAGATGAACACTAGTGTAGTTTTCATACCTCTTACATTTTAAAAAAGCTAATGAACATTTCATACCACTGTCAGATAGTCTATCTGCATAAGCAGCTATTCCACTTACTAGTAGTTTAAAGTTTTTAATCCACTAGCAACATAAGATAATGGTATTCTTGATTTAAAATGTAATAAAAATATAGCACCCTCATACTCTGCTTTCATTACTTGTGAATATCTAATCCACCAAATATTTTGAGATTTCCAGTGTGTGAACACTCAAAACCAGCTTAGTGGCTACCCCTGAGCTTCCCAACCAATGCAGCAAACCAATCAATTTGACTTGTATTGTTTCCTGAATTGACCAGTTATTTGTTTGACATCATTGGACAACTAAGGTAAAATGCAGCAAACCAATCAATTTGACTTGTATTGTTTCCTGAATTGACCATTTGTTTGACATCATTGGACAACTAAGGTAAAAGTTGAATTACTGTGCATATAACATAAAATCTGGGTGTGCACTGGCAGCTTATATACCACGTTCCCCAACAATCTGACACTTACTTTTATTGCCCCAATTTGGATCATTTCCATTTCATTTCTGCTTTAGGTGAAGGGACTGTATTGACACAGAAGTTCACATTTAGTATCTTACATTCACTGAGTATCCACAATGTCCTAGGCATTTTGCTGGATCTGTGAGGTGGTGAACTAAAAGCAACCAGGACCACACACTCATTTCTAAAGAATTCTCTCTCTCAGCCATCCCTGTCTTTTGGCCATCCTCTGCTTCACGACAGAAGAATTGTTCTTCTTATTTGAGTATACAACCCTGGTCTTCCTTAGTCACTTACTGGTCAGACTGTTCCCCTGCAGAACCAGCCCCTGCTAAATTGATATGATCTGCAGCACTGTAAAATCCAATGTCCCACTTGCTCCTTTGCTGCACATCATGCCCCCTAGCCTGACAATGAGGAACCATAAGCTGCAGAAAAGCTGCTTTCCTGACAGACATTAGAAGGGGATATTTGTGTGTAGTTCAATAAATGCCATCTTTTCACACCAATATTTTAATTATTGCCTTTGTAAATATTATGGAGGTTATGCTGTCATCAATGGCACCATAGAGCCATAGAGAGACATCTGGGAAATGCTGAGCAGAAAGAGCTCCTAAGAATCAGTTCCTTCTTCTCCCTTATTTTTTCATGCAAAGAACTCAGTTACCCAGTTGTTAAGTGTCTTTGTTCACATAGTGCTTACTTGGGTATCTAAAATGAGTGAAAAAAGAAGAGATAAAATCTAAGCATAACTTATATCTGAAGTCTAATTCATTATTATAAAAATGCAAGTTTAATTACAGTGATAAATTATTATTATTCTAAAGGGTCATGTCTCCTTATATTCCTTCAATTACTTTACTTAGAAAAATAACTATAATTTCTTCTTTCAAATACCAAAATTAACAAAAATACTACTAATTATCTGGGAACCAGGAAGAAAAGAGACTAGAGCACACTCACCCATGAGCACGTGCGGTTAACATATTTTTAGCATTTATAAGGAAGCAAGTTTTTTTTCTTGGACAAAAGAGTCTGTATGATATAATCTGTTTCCACTTTTTGAGTAAAAATATTCAGTTTTAAACACTTTTACCTTCTTCCTATTTCTAAAATTGTCCTAAGGCAATGTGATTTTTGTAAAATGGCCTAATGGCTGAAAATCATTTACTGCCAATGCCTAATTTGAAACCTGATGTTCTAGAGAAATGTGTGGCCTTAACCATGCCAGAATGTCTCATTTTATGTTTAAATGGTCACAGATTTAATAATGGGCTGCAAAATAAAAGATTGCATTTAACTACATCCTTTACTTTTCAAGCACTCATCCAAGTATGCACAAACACAAGGGCATGCCATACGCTTTCAATCCATAAGCATCATGGGAAAGGCCCACTCTAGGCTCTGTACACATTAACAAATTATGTCCCATTGGGTCAATGCAAAAATTAATTGTGGGATTCTTTTCAAATCCACATTGTTTCCTGGCCCTGTTGCAGGCCACTCAATTAGACACGTCTCAAGGCCTTTGTGCTGGACTAAACACAGCTAATTGTTCCATTTCTGCATGGAGTGATTCATCTCCCAGATATCTCAGACCTTTCAGCAGCTCTGCTTCACCAATATCTGGACATATGAAAACAGAGGCATTTGGGATTTGGGCAGAGGGGAAAGATTGGGAAGCAAATAGAGCAGGGTATTCTTTACCCCTGCCCTTTGGTATGATTAATCTTCAGTGAGAAAGGACTCCTGAATCATTCTCTTGACAGGACAGCCCCCTTGCCCTATCTGGCTCCCCATGTGAGGAGCGATGGATGAATGCTTCCTTTTTTCCCTTCCTCCAGGTGCAGGCCTATTCACACTTGAGCCTGACAGCACATAATAGAACAGTTTCTACTTGCCCATTGCCTCGGTTCTCTGTATTCTCTCCCCAATGTTTCTCATTTGTCCACATCCTAGTGACAGAGCCAGTCAAACTGAAAATACATGAAAACCCAAAGGCAGTCATTTATTTTCTTGAAGCACTGATGTGTGTGCATGCATGTGTGTGCATGCATGTGTGTGTGTTCTTACAAGAAGCATATCTTCAGAGTAAATCTATGGAGAAAGATTCTTATATCTCTTACATATGTAAACTACTGGGTTAGCTTGAGTGTTTGACTTTGACTTTGACTTTGAATTTTTGCTTTGGCTTGGCATTTTCTCTTCAACTCTCTCCTTTACCCAGAGAAAATAGTGTTATTCATTCATTGTAACAATTGAGTATATAATAATGGATGTTTTGAAATAGAGAGAGGTGTCCAGACCCTCTATCTTTGTGGTACCAATCACATGTAAAGGAACCAATAATTTATTATGATTTAGTTTCAAATTGAACACAGGAAGACAAAAATCTTCTGATTTAAAATGAGATGAAAAATTGGTACCTACAAAAATGTTTTAACTTTATATGCATCCATGTATAGATTTAGGTTGTTCCCTACTCAAAATAATTAAGCTAAACATTGGTCTCAGTTTGAGATTTCTGAAAACAGACATTTAGACTGGGGTGTGAGTATATAGAGTTTAATTTGGAAGTGATTGCAGAAAGAGAGTTAGGAATAATTCAATGAAGAGAAGAAAGTCAAAATATATAAAGGATATATTATCAAACAAGTTACCACTGTGGGCAGCTGCAGCTCAATCCCAATGGGGAACTTCAAGAAGCTGTAGAAAACATGCAACTCAAGAGTTGTTCCCTCTGTGGAGCAAGAAATCTGGAATATTTATACACTAACATCCGTCAGTCAATAGGTGAGGACTACTCTCAAGAAATGTAATTAAACCAGTGTACCCAAGCAATATAGACTCTCATCATCAAACAGTGTTTAGGCAAATTGATGGAGATGCAGCTGTTGAAGGACTGCTGGGGAGCACTAGGATGGCAGGGCACCAGCAATGTCTGCTCCACCATTGCACTTTCTGGAACTTCAACAAGAACGATCACTGGTTTTAAGCTAACCTTTGAAACCCTGCACTGATGTAGCATCTGTGGGAATCCCTGGCTTTGAAATATAAGGCGTACTTGACTTTTAATTTTCTCATATTCATGTTTCTGACTGCCTTTCTGTGTCCTTTCTTAACTAGACTTCAGATATCTGCATGGCTAATCAGCCTGAGATCATAACTCTAGCAGAACCTAGTTGTCTGTTGATTATCGAAAGTTTGGTGCAAGTATTTTTTTCCCAAACCATTTGAGAGTAAAATGCTAACCTGATTCCCCCACACTTTCAAATATTTTAGTGTATTTTATACAAACAAGGACATTCTCTTAACCATGTATCATAATCACAACATATCCATCAAATCAGGAAATTAACATTGATGCATTTCTATCATCTAATCCTGAGATCCCATCTGAGTTTTACAACTTGTCTCAGTAACAAACTTTATAGCAAGATAATTCATTTCAGAATTACACGTTGCATTGTGATTGTCATATTTCTTTAATCTTTTTCAATCTGTACAAGTTTCTCAATCATTTTTTTTTAAACTTTTTTAAACCTTGACACTTATGTTGTAGAATGCCCTTTAATTTGGGTTTAGATTTGTCCTGTTTATCCTCATGATGATATTTAAGTCAAATATTCCTGGCAGAAATATCACAGAGCTAATACTGTATTCTGCTCATTACTTCATAATCAATGGATAATTTTGATTTATCTCATTACTGGTAATGTTAACCTTGATCATTTGGTTGAAGTGGTCTCTGGCAGCCTTTCCCACTGTCAGGTTACTATTTTCACTTTTGCAATTAAGAAATATTTTGAGAGGAAATACTTCGAGCCTATGTAAATAACTCACCAGTCATAAAACTTTCAATTATTTATCAGTGTATGTATTTATACACATCAGGGTATTCTCATGGATTCCTGCTTGATTCATTGATTCATTGTCTTTACTATCTTATATATTCTGATGGTCAACTTGTCTCAGCTTTGGCCGGTAGGAACCCCTTGTGGCTAGCTTGTTCATTCTTTTGACATATCCCTATGTCTTTGAGCACTCCCTAGGAAGACTTTAACATTGAGCAGCTCACCAAATAATATTCCACTATGATAAAGCAAAAAATAGTGTTCACCCTATCTCCATTGCCACCAAGAAGAGCACAGTGAGGAGAAAACCCAAATATAAGACATGAGTGGTTTGATTGAGCCAAAAGACAGCTTCTGTCATAGCGCTACACATTGGCATGGAAATCTCCCACATTGAACATCTTGAAGCAGTGAATAGATTCTAATCTTTCTGGAGTTACTTAGATGTGGAATTTGCTTTGACTACTTTGAATCAAAGATCCCAAGATATTATATCAATAGCTTGTAAATTGTGATTTAAGCTGCAAACTAATATTTTTTCTTATAAACAACCAACTTTGGAAAAATAAAAAAAGAATAAATTAATTGTATCAACATTTATATCTTCAAAATAGTCTGCTAGGGAGAAGGATCTCATTGTATTTGGACTGGCAGACCCAGGGATACCAAAACCCGTTCCTGTTTATGATTTACTTTCCAAGGGATCTTGAGGTTACCAACAGAAGTAAGTGCACATTGGTCAAAAGCCAATGGAAAACAAGAGCATGTTTTCATCAACTCAGTGCTTAAGACCTACCAGCAAAAAGGTTTGACAAAACTGAATCTCCCTCTTTCACCTCTAATCCCAAGTCTTAACAGTTACCAGTTGGTCACATGGTACAAGCAGTGGTCAGCACAATGTGAGCATAAAGAGAGTAAAGAAAGCAAGCTTCCTGGGCGTCAACAGCTATTGCTCCTTTCACGTGGAGTGAGTGAGAAAAGAAACAGAGTTCCTACTTAACCCTTGGCCACCCTGCCATTCATAACTGGGTCCAGGTGAATGTCCTGAGCTCAGCATTATGATTAGCAAATCTTTCTCATCCTCTTGGGAGGAGACGGTAGTAATGAACTGAGAGGTAGACACAGAGTTCTTTCTTTCCTACATATTTATTGTAATAGGATCTAAAGGCATTCTCAGCATGGCTCATTCAAGGATCCTGCCTTTAATGGAGGAAAATTAGTTCCACAAATAAAACACAAAATAGAAAGTGTGAAATTATATGTAAAATGCACAGAAATAGGCAAATGATAATGTATTAATGGATTTCTTTAAAACATTATTTGAATTTAAAGAGTTTAAGGCGTGAGATTTTTTTCATACTGAGCTTCCCTACATGTAGAGTTGGAAGGTTGTCTCAGGTCATTACACAAAATCCAATTCTAAACAGGTGCTTAGGGTCACGGGTTCAGTTCATTCACTGAACGTACTTCCTTTGGACTCAGTCAACTAAACCCAATGCAGGAGAGAACTTAATAAAAGAAAGGAAACCCTACCAGGGCTTGCTACAAGGATCTCAGGGTTTTAAATCTATTGTTTGGTCTCCGTATGCCTTCAGGTTAACCATATGTAAACAATTGCTACTTTTAACACCAGAAGCAGGTTACCTTTCAGAGGTGGACTTATTCCTTGGCCATAAAGTTTATAAGTCTACCAGCTAAGTTTATGAAGTGCTCAGGCATCTTTTGGAAATGAAATGTGCTGGGTAGTGGCAAGGGCTCTAAGGTGAGAAGGAAAGGAAACTCAGCCAAGGAACCTAAGTCTCATTAGCTCATACATGGCTATTGCAATGAAATTATACACATTCTAAGAGAATTAAGACTGATTTGCAGCACTGAAATGCCCGTGAGCTGGTTAAAGCATACAGCCATTACCTGCTCTGCTTCTGAAGGTTACTAAGCATAGGAAAGCCCAAAGAAAGGCTGGATGAAGTAAAAACAAGTCCTTTTTGACTGTAATGAGTCTTGTTCCTGCTGTAGACTTCAGGCAATCCCTCAGTGGATGGTTTTTCCCTTGAGGTTAGTGGGGGTTCTATCAAGACTTGGAGGATTTGAATCAAATTTCCTCATTTTTCAGCATTTTGATCAGAGTTTTTACTTTCTCTGAGTGTGATTATGTCTGCATTAACTCCAGAATGAAGTAAGACTTTCCTTTTTTTAGTCACCTGTCCTACTGGAAGCTTCTATTCCCTTTAAAGGAGAATCGGATACTACTTTCTTTCGAGGTAGGGAAGTTAGTTTTGCTACATAATATATTACACACAAATGGCTGACTCAAATTTAAACATTTTAATTTTCTTAGGACACTGGGTTATAGACTCAATATGCCCCGTCTCAGCCCAAAAATTCAAGTGTTGAAGATTAATCCTAATTTTTATGGTATTTGGAGGAAGGCTTTTGGGAGGTGATTAGGTCATAAGAGTGGAGCCCTCCCAGATAGAATTAGTGCCCTTATAAAAGAGATCTCAGAGAGGTCACTCACCCCTCCCACCATGTGAGTACCCAGACAATGAGAAGACAATTGTCTATGGACCAGGAAATGGGTCCTCACCAGACAAGAAATCTGCTGTCACTGTGACCTTAGACTTTGTAGCCTACAGAACTGTGATAAATAAATATTTGTTGATTAATCCACCCAATCTATAATATTTTTGTTACAGCAGCCAGAACAGACTGAGACATACTGTAAGTTGGCACTTTGGGCTGGGCTTATGTAGGATTGCTTATCTCTGCTCCATAAGGTGTTGTTAGAGTGTATCCATTTGTTTGTTGTCAGTTGGTGGCTGAAGGTTTCATTTATATGCTTTGTGGTTGGATAGCTGGCTATAGGGACAAGGCAGTAACTGGACCATATATGGCTCATTGTCTAGCAGACTAGCTGATGCTCATTTTTGTGGTGGTAGTCAGAGTTCCTCAGAGTTGGAAGAGAAAAGCAGCTCCAGTATTCAAGCACATTTCCAGCCTCTGCTTACATCAGATTTTCTAATGTCCCACTGGCCAACACTATATCACATGACTAAATCTAGATTAAAAAATAAAGAAATAAACTCCACTCCTTGATGGGATGAACTGCAAAGTCTCATTGAAAAAAAAAACGCATAGATTCAGGAAGAGAAAGCATTTGTGCTCTGTTTTGCAATTAACCATATGAGGCAAAAAAATGAAAAGAAAGCTGAATACATTCCTGCTGTAAGTGCATTCAGTTCTGCTTATTGAGGAGAAAGTGTTGAGTCTTTCATAGTGTGATATTTTTATTTAAAATTTCCCTTTCACAGTATGTGCACATTAATGAAGTACAGTTATTTCCAGAAAAATATGCTTATTATACCCCTTAAAATAAAATAAAAATAAAAATAAAGAAAATAAAATAAAAAGGTAAATAAAACAATTTCAACTAGATTTTTTTCTCCTTTTTTTCTTCCTTTCAGACTTTCCTATAAAGCAAAATGAAACATGTGGTGAACCTATTCACACTTTCTCACATTTAGTAAATAACTTCATACATTTATTTTTCTTTGTAAAGTAAAATTATATTCATTCCAATTCTGCCACTTACCAGCTGTGTGGCTTTGGCAAGTTACTTAAACCATTTATGCCTCAGTTTCCTTATCATTAAAATGGGAATAATAAAAGTTCCTCCCTCAAAAGTTATAATAAGAATTAAAAGAGTTATTACTTTTAAGTATGTTAAACAGTGCCTGAAATACAGCTATGGTTAAACCACTGTTGTATAAGTGTTTGTTAACCAAAAACAAAATTTGGGGTTTATTATGACCATGTTACCCAAGGCTACAGTCATAACCAAGACTATCTCAATTTTAGGGACAAATTTATTTTCATTTATGAAAATAATTTAGGCAGACTGTACCATCATTTGCCCATTCTTAGTTTTTCATTGTTAACATGGGGGCAATGTTGTTTAGATATAACAACAGTAATAATATCAGCTCCCCCACCTTGGAGAATGTCTTCTTACATTTAAAGCACTTTTCCACATATTTTATTTGATTCTTGCAGTGGGACATGAGGAGATTTACAACAGCAGTATTTGAGGTATGTTTCAAAATACCCGCCTTAGCGCAGAACGAACTGAGAGGGAAAGCAAAGGGAAAGGAAAGAATTAATTTTTCATCTTTTGGGGACCTAATAGCCATGCTCCTTGGAAAACTGCCAGCATGTTTTTCAGGAAGTCTGAAAACAGCAGCTTCACTTGTGAAAATCAGGAGGAAGGCACAATAATCGGAAACAATCACACTTCAGATAAAATTCATGACTTATGAGATAAGCATTATAAAAAGAAGGAAATTACCGCAAATTTTTTATGACCATAAAAAGCCCACATTGGGAGTAGCTAAATTAAATTTATATTAGCAAAAAAAGGTGTCCTCGATACTTTCTAATTGATACATTCTAGTTGAGAATTTCAGACCTCTGATAGATTTCACCAATTTTCATTAGGATGCTTTCAGCAGCAAATAACAGAATACCATAGTACAAAGGAGCTTCACAATAGAAGGTTATTTTTACTGCACACAGAAAACTCTGTAGGAAGACACTTGTCAGCTTTCCTGTAACTCTTGGCCTTTTCCCCAGTTGTCAAATGGCTGCCGTAAGTTTAAGCCTCACTCCACACGGAAAGAACTTCCACATGCAGAAAGGGAGATAAGAATACACTTCACACATCTCATCCTCTTGACAGAGACAGCACTTTTCCCTGAGCCACCAGATTTCTCTTCTCATGTCTCATTGGCCAAGAGTGATCACATGTTCACACAATGTCCGCAAAGGAGGTGGGGAAAGCAAGTGTCTATTATCTTTAGCTTTTACTAGGGTAGAATGAAGGGAAGGGATGACAGAAGTAGAAGTTTTCTCATGGGCAAGAAGGTAGGAGGAGGGAGAAGTTGTTAGTAACTCACACTGCCTGTCCCAAACAGTATGTTGAGGAAGATATTTTGATCTCAAACATTTTATATATGAGTCTTCTCATATCTCCCACACTGCTGTAACACCCACATTCATACAGCGAACAACTTTAATGATATTTTATGAATAACTAAGTCTGAATTGGGACAAACATAAGTGGATCTATGCAGGTTTAATGAAGTTCTGAGGACCACTTCATCAGTGATAATGAATAACATAATGAAAGATATCAGCCTAGGATCCCATGGCTTAGCTTAATATACCACCAGGAAATAGCTTCCATTCTTATTTAAACACACGTATGTTTTGATATACATGCCTATGTGTCTTTATATGTATTTCTACTCAATTGAAAGAATTGCAACTGCCAGTATTTTATTTTACTATCATTTTAAACTTCATATTAAAGCAAACCCCTTTTAACGTTGTTCAGATGTAATAAGACGTAGTGTAGTGATCTTTAAAATAGTGTTTGTGGTACTCTAAGATTCGTTGAAGCCAGTGGATGGAGTGGAGTGGAGGCAGCCATTGTCATCTATTTGATTTGGAACTAAGATAATTCCACTTAAAAATCTATTTGTAAAATGAATTCTATGGGTAAGAAAAACTCTTTAGTGGAAAGAGTTTATAATTTGGAGTTAGAATGTGATTTGATTCTAAAACTGCCATTTACTAGCATGCCAGGGAACTATGGATGAGTTAGAACTCATTCCCCCATAATGGTATTTTAATGTTGTAGAACCCATGAATTTTGGGAGATAAGAGGGTTTGCAAAGTCACCTGAGCTCTCTAGGTACAAATTAAGTGCCCAGGAACTATCAATTCTTTCCTTATTCACAGGTTTCCTGTTTTAATCATAGCAAAGTGCCCCATTAAGTTTGTATTCCCTAATTTTATTAGCCAAAGAAAGTTGTTTCAAATGCTTTGTTATAACAACTATCATTCATGGAGAAGATTTTTGATTTACTGTAATTTCCCGTGGAATAAATTCTAGGAAATGAACTTATGGATATGAGGATATAAATATCTGTTTGCTACTCCAGAAATTTTGCCAGGTTTTATTTTCTATTATAAAATTATAATGATTTATGCTGCCACTTGCAATATATCATTGTATCATTGTACCAGGTTTTTAAAACCTTGCCAATTTCAGATATTTCTTCACTTATTTTTGGCAAGTAGCAAATATGTAAAGTGTGAAATAATATCAGGTAGTTGTTAAATTTGTAATGGCTTTATTACTAGGGAGGGTACACATTTTTCATTATTTTTAAGAATGACTATTGTTTCTGTAAAAATGAGGCAATGGTCATTATAAAAAATGGAAGCAATTAATAAACTTATGAAGAAGAAATGAATAATCCAAATCCCACCATCTATATTTCATTTCAAAATTAAGTAAATATTTTCCAGAAATCTCAACCTCTCTCTCTTCCTCTTTTCCTCCTTTTCCTTCTCCCTCACACATATCTTCACATGAAATGTTAATGAGGATAGATAAAAATATCTAGAGACAAAGACATTATACAAATTGAATTATATAACTACTTTGTATGACTAAAAGTATAGTTCTTGATGAATGGAATTAGTAGAATAAAAAACCAAATAAAACAATACTTTCCTATTTTATCTTTAATTTAGAAAAGATAAGTTTTTCACCATTGATATTTTTACAGGTAGTTTCTAAATGATTCCTCCAAAATTAAGTCAAAATATTCTTAGAATTATCATTTTTATTTCAAAATCTACACACTTTACTACTCATCTTTGTCTTTATACATAATTTTAAGTTTTAAAGGTTTCAAATACACGTGTACCTATACCCATGTAATGTTAACATGTTGCTTTATTACTTCAGATCATTTTTAAAAGAAGTTAAATAATACAAATAGAGCATTTGAATCACTTTTCTTTCCTTCTTGTCTCACTACGTGGAGGAAACTTATTTTGAAATGAGTGGTTTTCGATTTTCATACAAATGGCAATTTTACTACACATGTAAAGCCATAAATAATATACCATTGTTTTATGTGTGTATCGACACTGTTTTATGTCCCGGCCAGATCTTTTTCACTTCTGGTGCAGCTACACTCCATCTGCCGCTCATGTTGGCTCCTCCTGGTTCTAGGTCTCCTGCTGTCTGTGGAAGCCCTTTCACTGACAGGATGCCTCCCACAAGTCAGCACACATTAATAATTGACTGGCAAAGGTTTGTGTAGAGGATGGGAGATGGGTCAACAAGGTTAGCCCCTTTCCTTCAAGATGAGACCAGTGCTATGGTTCAGTTCATCCTCCAGAGCTCTTTCGAGGATCAAACTGACACAAGAATTCAGCCAAGACCACAACAACCTTACTCCACTCCTTCCCTTACCTTTTCAACCTTGCTTTCCTCCCTCCCCTTGTTCTGAGAGCCACCTTCCAATAAATCATATAAACTCAAATCTCTGTCTCTAACATGCTTTTAGAGAAACCGCTCAAAGAAAATGTGATTTCTAAATTTACAATTATTGTATCAATTGTGCTATACTTTATTGAGCATTATTGGCACCTTGCTTTCTCCACTTAACCTTGCTTTCTCCAGGTAATTTTGAGAGATTTGTCATTCTTGATATTTGAGGCTAGAGTCTATACCTTTCGTCTAAATACTAATTATTCTATTTTAAAAGAGTTCATTCCTCCATTCTCCTAAGAGACGGTTAAATGCGTGTTCTATTTTTTTCAGTATTGCAAGCACTGAACAATTCCATATATGTTCCTCTGCATATGCATTACAATGGGTACATGGATCTCCATTTTTCTTCAATATTGCCAGTCTACCTAGAAAGTGGGAGTACCCATTAAGACTCCAACCAGTTGTTAATTAGCATTCCTATCTTGCATCATTTTTGCCAACACTTCAGGATGTCAAATTTATTATTATTACACTTATTGTTGTTGCTAGTTTTAAAGGGTTTGCAGTGGTAAGCTATTGTTTTGATTTCTGTAATATTTCTTTTTTTTTACATACATTTTCTTTTTTTCTTTTTTTATTTTATTACTATTATACTTTAAGTTTTAGGGTACATGTGCACAATGTGCAGGTTAGTTACATATGTATACATGTGCCATGCTGGTGTGCTGCACCCATTAACTCGTCATTTGGCATTAGGTATATCTCCTAAAGCTATCCCTCCCCCCTCCCCCCACCCCACAACAGTCCCCAGAGTGTGATGTTCCCCTTCCTGTGTCCATGTGTTCTCACTGTTCAATTCCCACCTATGAGTGAGAATATGCTGTGTTTGCTTTTTTGTTCTTGCGATAGTTTACTGAGAATGATGATTTCCAATTTCATCCATGTCCCTACAAAGGACATGAACTCATCATTTTTTATGGCCGCATAGTATTCCATGGTGTATTACTAGTAATGCCGTGTTTTTTTTAATACATGAATTGGCAGCTTAGAGTTTCTCTTTGCTAAAATGTCTGTTATAGACTTTGTTTATTTCTCTCTTCTTATGTATAGATTTCTTGTTAATTTGCTCACTTCATATATTTTGGATAATAATATATTTATTTACAATTATATTTGTGTTTACACTTACATTCATACAATTTCTTCTGGTTGATAAATAAGCTGACTATCTTCTGTTTTCCTTCTGGATCTACTCTCCATCTTTCTCTACACTGCTTTCTACCTGAGAGACTGACCTTGTTGTGGCTGATCTGTATGGATGTATTTTCCTGTCTAGTTGGGCCAATAGGACCAGTATCAAGAGATAGGGAGAAAAGAGGGAAGTGAGAGTATGTATTTTGGCTCCCTCTTTGTGTAGTTGTCGTCATCTGGCTGCATCTTTTTAATGAAAAGCCATTGTTCCTGTTAGGCATTCTTCTTCACGAAATGAAAACACCTCGTCCCGCCTTAACTTGCTTGACAACTAGAATGTGGCAGAATGATGGTGTGCAACTCTTCAGTGTAAACAGAAGTTTCCATATATGTAGGATGGCATGGAGAAACAAAGTTTGGAAAGCAGCAGGAATATTGGAGAAAAATAAAATCACTAAATATCTTAGCTGAAGCACAAAACTGGGAAGTCCCCACAAATCCACCAGGAATAACTACAATTCTCAGAAGTCTCTGGCAAAGCTCTCACCTACTCTCTAAGCCTGCACCATCAAAGAGAGTGTTCCTAAGAAGGCTAAAGCTGATGAAAATTAACATCTCTTTGCCTGAAGAACATCCTGAGAAATGTTCCCAGCAGCTCTCCTGAAATTGGTAGATGATATTTGACAAGGGAAATATTAGTTTGTTGTTTTATGAGATTGTAATACATACGTATAAAATATGTAAAATTACATATATATGTAGACATATATATATGAGATTGATTGATATAGTGATTGATGGAGTCTCCCTGTGTTGCCAAGGCTGGTCTCGAACTCCTGTGCTCAAGCAATCTTCTTGTCTCAGGCTCCCAAAATGCTGGAATTACAGGCATGAGAGTGTATGTTTAACTTAAAAAGATCATCTCAGAAATTGACAGTGCAGACTGTCACAGTTGGCAAACTGTTTTTCTTCTGAGCCTAACAGTGAATATTTTAGGTTTTGAGGACTGTGGTTTCAGTGGCTGCTCCTCTTTACACCATTCTCATTCTTTTTAACAACTCTTTAAAACTGGAAAACCCAATCTTAGTTCTAATGCTGTACAACACTAGTTACAGGCCTTTGACTGTGCCCATCATTTTTTAAATATACCTTTGGCTATTAGATATTACCATATGACTTTTAAGATCAGATATCTGTCTCTGCAAAAAAAAAAAAAAAAAAAAAAAAAGATAGTAGAAATTTTGATGGGAACTACACTGAATCCAGAGCTCAATTATATCTTCTTTAATTTATTTCCTGAGCATGCACACAGCGTTACACATCTGAGTGGCCTTCTAGGTTCCCAGGAATACATCAAAGCTTTGGAATGCCCCATGGACATCTCATTCCTCAGCTTTTCCTTTTGAGCTTGTTTATTAGTCTATGAGTTTTGTACCAAATGTTATTAATTGTTTCAGGCAGCCATGACATTAAAACCATTTGCCTGTAAAGGTTTTTTTGACAAACAGTCACTCAAGAGGGGCTTTTAGCACCAAATGAACACTGAGTCAGGTAATATAAAGACAACGGTTACACATGGTTAATTTTGATAGATGTTGCCAGATTGCTGATCCAAAATTCTATAAAATTTACATTTCTACCAATAGTGGGTATTACTTGTAATGGTGACAGTTTGATGGGTGCAGAGATACGTCTCTCCACTGCTTTATGTCCCATCTAGCTACAATGCTCATGTCTAAGATATTCTCATAATTTGTTTCTTCACCTCCTTCAGGTGTTCAACTGTTTCATCAGTTAATCTTCACTAATCCTGCTACATTGAAAATTTAATGCATAACAGGCAATGAAATATTTTCAAATGAAACAATTATTTTTAAACTTTTTAATTTTTGTCAAATTTAAACATGCATATGGTTTAAATTTTCAGAAATATTTGTAGGACTTATAATGATAAATGTCAATCTCCCATTTCACTCTTCTTACCACCTAATTCTCCCTTTTCAGATGTAACCACTTTTAATGCATTTAATTTTTTCTACTGACATGTCTCTTTACCAAAGGATAGTAATGTACTTCTATTTATTGAGAACTTTTTCTTTTTATGCATTGCCTACTATAGAATTCTACATCTCTTCACACACAAACATACACAATTCCTTTTTTCTCATTATGTCAAATACTAATATATAATAATTTTATTTAGTCAAATATTATATGATAATAATTATAACCACATTGTTTACAACTCATTTTTTATAATTTATAATTTTTTAGAAATAAAATTATTTGGGTTTTTGTCACGAATTCTATGTAATCCATCTCTGAGTTATTTGACAAAATTATATTTCTTCTCTTGATACTTTAAAACCCAATAATGTAACTTGTAACTTGTTTTTTCTTTTCTTTTTTTTTTTTTTCACTCTTCTCTTTTGTCCACTTGTTTCAATCTGGGCTGGTTCCTTTCTAAACTTCTGTAACGCTATCATCCCCAAATCTTCTTTTATTATCGAATCGGAATTTTTTTCAACTCTCCTGGAAGTACTGTCTCCTTCCTGGATATTGTATGTTTTTATTTTGATTTTTTTAAAGACCAACCCTCTTGTTCTGTTGGGGCATATTCTGCAGTATTTATTTGAGAAAAAAAGCATAAAAGGACAATTGTTATAAAATTGCACTTTTATAAATGTTTTTATACTATTTGCATAAACGATGGAAAGTTTGCTGGGCATAGATTTCTCAGTTGAGAGACATTTTCTCTCAAATGCTAATGCTAAAGGCATCACTCATTATTTTATAACTTCCAATTGTTGCTTAGATGACAGATACAATTATCATTTTAGATGCTTTAATATGAATAATTTCTCTCTCCCTTTCTCTTCTCTTCTCTCTCTCTCCTTTTAAAATCTTATCTTTGCTTCCAAGTTACAAAATTTTATAATAATATTTCTTAATTTTTTTCAACCTATGGTTTTGGGAATAATTATCAAGGCAAAAATCATTTACTAGTAAATCAAACGGGGATCCAGTTGCCAAAACAGAGATGAGGTAGATTAATTGCAAAAATTATTTTTTTTTCCTGATATATTTCTCCCTGTAATATGACTATAAAGTCATTGTTATCAAGAGGTGACATTTATTTCCTCACCTCTTGAATGCAGAGGACTTGGTTTGACCAACAGAATGTAGCATAAAGACTTGCATGTCCTCAACTCTCTCTCAGAACCCAGCCAAGTCACACTGGGAATAACGCCAGGTAAACCTATTGGAGACTGAGGTGTGTCATGGAGCAGAGATGAGCCATTCTCTCTGAGAAAAGCCTAGACAAACCAACACTGTAGCTGACACAGCTCACCTGGAACCAGCTAGGTGACAGAGACTCTTGAGATATCAAAATGCTTAATGCTTAAGCCACTAAGTCTTGGGGGTCATTGACTTTGCAATATCAAACATATACATATAGAATATGGTAAAAATTATTTCAGAAACAAGACCCAATCATTCAACTTGAAAAATGAGGCCACATTTTAATTATAGGCATGGCTGTGAATCTGATTACCACTTTGGACAACAGATTTTACAGTCACTTTTGCCCTTGGAGCTGAGTCTGCAAGCTGTAGGACACAGAAGTACACACTTAGAAAACAGAATATGAGAGACTCTCCCAGCTATTCCACTCCTTAAAGCTTAAAGTGCAACCCTACCCATTGCCACTCTAATGCTAAACAAGATGACTTCAATACTGGGATCAAAACTGTCAGTCAAACACTCTACCCCAAGAATTTAGTGCTCACAGCTACAAGAACTCAAAAATAATCCAAATCATAAGTTTGAAATAGGCATAGGTATAGGCACATCTAATAGTTTTCAGTAATAATCCCATCTCAACAATAGATATTCTATCTTTCATCCAAGAACAGTTAAACTGTGCACCCTAGGCATACTGAACTCTATTTCAAAGGAGGTGGAGTCTTGCCCCCTTCTCTTGACCCATGGAGGCTCATCTAGTCTAGTAAAATTTTCCCCACCTGGATTTCCCTATTAATAAACATGAGAATGTTATTGGGAGCAGGGGTGGCAGAAGGTGTTTGCCACCTCTGCACTATCATGGACATGTTGCCAACATCCATCTGGGATTCTAGAAGACAAGTTTGATAAGTAACTGGAGAAGATTGGTAAGTGAATCTATTGTGTGTGAGCTGGCACCTGCTTATCATTTATTATTTATAATTTATAAATATCAGATCAGTTTGGTTAGCTATTTTTTTAAATTATGGTTATAGTCATATGCAATATCACAGTTAAGAAATATATGCATTTTTAGCTGAACACTTGTCTCTCCTTTGCCCATATTATAAAAGAAAATTGTCTCTCAATAACAATAAATAGGCCAGGCATGGTGGCTAATGCCTGTAATTTGCACTTTGGGAGGCCTAGGCAGATGGATCACCTAAGGTCAGGCATTCGAGACCAGCCTGGCCATCATGGTGAAACCCCATCTCTACTAAATATACAAAAATTTAGCCAGGCGTGGTGGCCGGAGCCTGTAATTCCAGCTACTCTGGAGGCTGAGGCAGGAAAATTCCTTGAACCGGGGAGGTGGCAGTTGCAGTGAGCCGAGATCGCGCCATTGCACTCCAGCCTGAGCGACAAGGGCAAAACTCCAACCACCCTTCGACCCAAAAAAAAAAAAAAAAAAAAAAAAAAAAAAAAGAAAACCAAATAAATATCAAAGTTCAAGATGCTCACATTGAATAGCTAACATTATCTTAGATGTTTTCCTTTTTTAATAGAGGCATTTAATTTTTTTCCTCTCAAATGTACTCATAAACTATACTTAACGCACTTTTACATTTACACAAACATCATGTCTTATGTGTTAGCAGGCCAGAAATCTATGAGAATATTCCCTCTCTTGTTGTCATACCAAATTCAGTATAAATTAATTTTCTGAAGATCTTGCAAATGTCTCATTTAACTTGGTTTCAGACTAAATGTGCTTAATATAAATGTACACAAGTGGTCATTCTCTATTGGGAGATTCATTGAGCCAAGATGTTATTTTGGAAGGATCTTTGAGCTTTAAGTGATTCTCTCAAAAAGTATGCTACATATTACCTGCTCTGGTTAGCTGCCAAATAGCCAGCAATTTTAAATGACTACTTTTCAAAGCAAATTATTCACACCTTCCTACTCATCAGAAAGTCTCAGCTGAACTAACATTTTAAAAGACTTCTCAATTCATAATTCTTAAGGAACAACATTGAATTTTCTTCCCACTCTTCATTTTTGCTGTAACACTTTGGCTACTTTTACCACGTCACTGTAATATGCTACCAAAATAAAGTTCTAAGTTGGTGACATGAGATCAATTCTGGTATTCATCACTGTTATTCTCTATTGCTCCATCCATTACAAATCATAGAATGTTAAATAATCATTTTTTTTCTTTTTGCCTATCTTATTTTGGCAAGATGTTTTAGTCTGTCAAGAAAAAAATGAAAGCCATGTGTTTTGAGTGGGTTCCATTGCAGCATGATTCTTGCAATGAAGACATTTTATTGTGTTAATTTTCATTAAATAAAACCCTGTTGAAAGCCAGTCGTTTTCCAAAACCCATATGATTTATGGCATGTTAATTTTTGTAGGGAGACACTCTGTTTCAATTATATGGAGTAAGTGATGCCTTTCAGAACAACTTAGTAATAATATCACCTATGACAACTTTAATTTTAGACCTATACCTCAGCTGTGAGACTTGGGAACGTATCAACAGAATTGTCAGCTTCTGCACAAATTTAATCTTCATCACCTCTATGCTATGTTTAACGTCAGATGGTTGTGCTTGCCAGGGACTTCCAATAATGTGCTTCCAGAAGGCAGGCACTTCATAAACATTAAACACTGGGTTTGCCATAACTCAAACATATTATATTTTTTTCTTTTACAACCAACAGAATGAGAAGTGCTAAGGCCCTAAGGCAAATGTGGGTGCACCTGAAGGAAATGGGCTATTTCATATAGTCTTTCCTTACTCTATCTTTTTTGTATTTGGTTTACTAATCACATACTTAATGACTTATCTTTTTCTGAAGACCTTGAGTCTAAGTAAAATATATTAAGTGAAATCAATATATTTTTATTATTTTTATGGAAAAAATATGCATCAATTTCAACCCCAAGACATGAATAAATTTATAACAGATGAAAATGTATCAAATAACCAATAATAACAAATTTACATAGGTAATAAACAGTAATTTGAAAGTGCATAAATAGTGTGTACATAAAATATAATGAAGTAAAATTTATTGTACTTAATATGGTACAATGAAGCAGGTGGTGGTTGTTGAAGGATGGGTTTCAGGGAGTCATATTTTTTTGGAAGATCTATTCCTTCTGCACTATTTTTTCACTAATATTTGAACTTCTATGAGGCTTATAATTTTCTTACATTCAAACTGAAATTTAAAATGAAGTTAAAGCACAGAAGAACATCTTCAGTCAAATTAATTGCTAAACATTAAAGGGCTCAAACACATGTAAATAGGACATCCACACAACAGCCGGAAAAGTTGTGGAAGATTATACCTTTCCATTGCTTCCTCCAGTTATAAACATGTAAGGAAAATCCCTTAGCCCTCATACAAACGTGGCATTCTATTCCAACGTACTCCATATGGTGTCCTCTGACCATTGTGTCAAGTGAGTAAGTGTGATTTTGCCTGAAACCACAATGTTGAAATACAATTTTTAAAGAGCCATGAAAAGTCATTACCTGAGCAACCCTTATTGAGTTAAGTCTGTTTAGAGAGAACATTCTGTCCTTGGCTTTTGTGGTTATGCAGTACAAATGATTCTTCTGCTTCTCTTCTGATTGATATTGTACCCAGATGATGAATGCTCAGGGAAAAGTGATGAGCTAAAGCATTTAGAAAACAAAATTCTCTGTCTGCATGGAGAAATTGGAGATTCCATTAAACATTTTCAGTATCCAGTAGAATTGCTTTGCT
The DNA here is from genome assembly GCF_000001405.40 of Homo sapiens. Taxonomy (NCBI): domain Eukaryota; kingdom Metazoa; phylum Chordata; class Mammalia; order Primates; family Hominidae; genus Homo; species Homo sapiens. The sequence continues at coordinate 7,410,615 of NC_000020.11, forward strand.
CCTAAATTATGCTATTGCCATGAGAGGACTATTAACTAGAACAAATTTGTCACTCAGCATGTATGATGATTTCTGATCCTGTGTACAAAATGCGGAATATTAATTTCCCGAAAAAGCCTATTTGTAGTGATCAAAGGGCTATAAACAAGTGATCCCAAGAAATGATAATTTAATCCTATGTTAATCAAATGATTAGAATAGTGACTTCTTTTAAAATTTGGATGTCATTCGTGTCTTAGAAAATCATCAGGATTTTAGCTTAGTATTATTATTATTATTTAGTGAAGTTTGTTGAGAAGAATAAGAAAATGGCATCTGGAATTATAGCTGTATATATCTGCAACCCTACTTGTTAAGGTGACAGAGGCTCAAAGTGCAGGAAGCAGATAACTCATACATACCTTTAGGAATTTCACTTTTTAATACCCAAATAAAATAAATGAGCCCTATGTATCTCGAAAAGAAAATAGAGCCCGTCCTTGGAGAATCGACTTAAAATAACTGATATGGTTTGGATTTATATTCCTGATCAAATCTCACGTAGAATTGTAATCCCCAATGTTGGAGGAGGGGCTTAGTGAGAGGTGATTGGACTATGGAGGCGGACTTCTCCCCTGCTGCTCCCATGATCATGAGTTCTCACGAGTTCTGGTTGTTTAAAAGTGTGTAGCACCTCCCCCTTCACTGTCTTCCTCCTGCTCTGTCCAGGAGGAAGAAGTGCCTCCTTCCTCTTTGCTTTCTGCCTGAATTGTAACTTTCCTGAGGCCTCTCCAGCCTGCTTCCTTTCCAGCCTGAGGTACTGTAAGTCAATTAAACCTCTTTTCTTTATAAATTACCCAGTTTCAAGTAGTTCCTTATAACAGTGTGAGAATGGACTAACACAATAACCTTTTAATAATATCCTGAAAAAGAGTTCAGAAAATTCCATATGGAATTTTTCTGTCTACATCCCATTCAGAAAAAATAAAATCACTAAACATCCTTCTTTTTCTTTTGATTTTCATAAAAACAACTAGTTTTGTTTGGTAAAAGGATAGTCATTTTTTGTGCTTTTTATATTTTTATTTTTATTTTTAAAATAACTTTACCTTTTATTTTAGATTTAGGGGGTACCATGTGCAGGTTTGTTACGTGGGTATATTGTATGATGCTGAGGTTTGGAGTGCAAACAATCTTGTCACACAGATAGTAAGCATAGTACCCAATAGTTAGTTTTTTAACCCTTTCTCCCCTTCGTCTTTCTTCCCTCCAGTTGTCCCCAATATCTATCATTGCCACCTTTTTTTTTCCAGGAGGACCCAATGTTTAATTCCTGCTTGTAAGTGAGAACATGCAGTATTTGCTTTTCTATTCCTGCATGAATTCAGTTAGGATAATGACCTCCAGCTGCAACCATGTTGCTGCAAAGTACATGATTTCATTTTTCTTTAGACTGTCTAGTATTCCATGGTGTATATGTACCACATTTTCATTAACCAATCCAGCATTTGGTGGGCATCTAGTTTGATTTCAAGTCTTTGCTATTGTGAATGAATATATGAGTGCATGTGTCTTTTTGGCTGAACAATTTATTTTCTTGTGGATATATGCCCAATAATGGAACTTCTGGGTTGAATGATAGGTCACGTTCTCTAAAGAATCTCCAAACTGCTTTCCACAGTGGCTGAATTAATTTACATTCTCACCAACTGTGTATAAGTGTTCTCCTTTCTCTGAAACCTCACCAGCATTTGTTATTTTTTTTTTGACTCTTTAATAATAGCCATCTAACTGGTGTGAGATGGTATCTCATCGTGGTTTTCATTTGCATTTCTCTGATGTTTAGCGATGTGGAACATTTTTAAATATGTTTCTTGTCTACTTATATATATTCTTTTGAAAGTTATCTGTTCCTGCCTTTTCCTCATTTTTTAATGGGGTAATTTGTTTTTTGCTTGTTGAATTGTTTTAGTTCCTTATAGATTCTGGATATTAGACCTTTGTCAGATGCATAGTTTTAAAATATTTTCTCCCATTCTGAAAGTTGCCTGTTTTCTCTGTTGATAGTTTCTTCTGCTGTGCAGAAACTCTTTAGCTTAATTAGGACCCACCTGTCAATTTTTGTTTTTGTTGCAATTGAGTTTGAGGACTTAGTCATAAATTCTTTCCCAAGGCTGATGTCCAGAATTATGTTTCCTAGGTTTTCTTCTAGGATTCTTTTATTTGAGGATTTACATTTGAATCTTTAATCCCTCGAGTTAATTTTTGAATATGGCGAAAAGTAAGAGTACAATTTTATTCTTCTGCATATGGCTAATCAGCTATTCCAGTATCACTTATTAAATAGGCAGTACTTTCCCCATTTTTTTTGTCCACTTTGTCAAAGATCAGATGACTGTCAGTGTGCAGCTTTATTTCTGGGTTCTCTGTTCTGATCCATTGGTCTGTGTGTCTGTTTTTGTACCAGTACTATGCTATTTTGGTTTCTGTAGCCTTATAGTAGAGTTTTAAGTTGGTTAAATGTGATCCCTTCAGCTTTGCTCTTTTTGCTTACGATTGCTTTGGCTATCCGTGCTCTTTTTTGACTCATATTTTAGAATAGTTTTTTCCTAGTTCTGTCAAAAATGACTTTGATAGTTTGATACAAATAGCATTGAAATTGCAGATTGCTTTCAGCCTTATGGCCATGTTAATAATTTTTATTCTTCTAATCCCTGAGCATGGAACGTTTTTCCATTTGTTTGTATCATCTATTGATTTCATTAAGTGGTGTTTTGTAGTTCTCCTTGTAGAGATCTTTTACCTCCTTGGTTAGATGTATTCCTAGGATTTTGTGTGTGTGTGTGTGTGTGTGTGTGTGTGTGTGTGTGTGTGTGTCTATTGTAAATGGGTTTGTGTTCTTGATTTGGCTTTCAGTTTGAACATTATTCAAGCATTAAAATGCTACTGACTTTTTTACATTGATTTTGTATCCTGAAACTGTATTGAAGTCTTTATCAGTTTCCAGAGCCTTTTGGTGGAGTCCTTTTTTTTTTTTTTTTTTTTTTTTGTGGAGTCCTTAAGTATAGGATCATATCATCTGTGAAGAAAGATAATTTGACTTCTCCTTCTCCTGTTTGGACACTTTTTATTTTTTTCTTTTGCCTGATTCATCTTGCTAGGTCTTCTAGTTATTTTTTAAAATGTAGTAAAGCAAATAAGGAAGTTTATTTAAAAAGCAAGTACCTTAAACCACTGTTAGAAAATATTTAGTTAAACAGACTGACAGATCACACAAACACACACACACACACACACACACACACACACACACACACACCATAGGCTCTGAAGTATAAAAGAAAAAAATAAGCAAACCCTCTAGGCCTCAGATTTCTTATCTTTAAAATAAGAAAAAGTGCAGTACCTACCTATGGGGGAAATTCAGCCAGATATCAGGCAAGATTCACCCCCGATATTTCACGTAGGTTCTTTTCTATTTCCCCTAAGTGTCGGCCATTCTGAGAAATAAAGGGCCAGAGTACAAAAGAGAGAAATTTTAAAGCTGGGTGTCTGGGGGGGACATCACATGTCGGCAGGTTCCGTGATGCCCCCTGAGCCATAAAACCAGCAAGTTTTTATTAGTGATTTTCAAAAGGGGAGGGAGTGTACGAATAGGGTGTGGGTCACAGAGATCACATGCTTCACAAGGTAATAAGATATCACAAGGCAAATGGAGGCAGGGCGAGATCACAGGACCACAGGACGGGGCAGAATTAAAATTGCCAATGAAGTTTAGGGCACACATTGTCATTGATAACATCTTATCAGGAGACAGGGTTTGAGAGCAGACAACCGGTTGGACCAAAATTTATTAGGCAGGAATTTTCTCTTCCTAATAAGCCTGGGAGTGCTACGGGAGACTGGGGCTTATTTCATCCCTACAGCTTCAACTATAAAAGACGGCCACCCCCTGAAGTGGCCATTTCAGAGGCCTACCCTCAGGGACGCATTCTCTTTCTCAGGGATGTTCCTTGCTGAGAAAAAGAATTCAGCGATATTTCTCCCACTTGCTTTTGAAAGAAGAGAAATATGGCTCTGTTCCGACCGGCTCACCGGCAGTCAGAGTTCAAGGTTATCTCTCTTGTTCCTTGAACATTGCTGTTATCCTGTTCTTTTTCCAAGGTGCCCAGATCTCATATTGTTCAAACACACATGCTCTTCAAACAATTTGTGCAGTTAATGCAATCATCACAAGGTCCTGAGGTGACATACATCCTCCTCAGCTTACAAAGATGATGGGATTAAGAGATTAAAGTAAAGACAGGCATAGGAAATCACAAGGGTATTGATTGGGGAAGTGATAAGTGTCCATGAAATCTTCACAATTTATGTTCAGAGATTGCAGTAAAGACAGGCATAACAAATTATAAAAGTATTAATTTGGGGAACTAATAAATGTCCATGAAATCTTCACAATCCACGTTCTTCTGCCATGGCTTCAGCCGGTCCCTCCATTCGGGGTTCCTGACTTCCCACAACACCTACCTTACAGAATTGCAATGGAATTAAATGAGATAAAGAATCAGAAGTACTTAGCACTGTTATCTGTTATAAGGTCAATATCTAAAAACGTTAGCTTTTTTTTCTTACCTTATAGGTTATGCAATTTTACATAAGGAATATCTCACTGTGGAACTTTGGAAAAAACCTGCTTTATCATGTGGAAATCTTGTCCTGACTTTCTTGTCATTCAGTATAAATCTATATCATTATGTTTAATAACCAAAGTTAGGTGGCATATGTCTTCAATTCCCAATGGTTACTACTTAGGTAATTATCAATTATTCAATATTATAAAGAAAGATAGTGCAAATTCTGATACAAAAATCTTTTTACAATTGCAAAATGTTTCTCTTAGAGTAAATTCTTCAAAGATTTCCAATTAAAGACAACATTGCACTTTTAAAGTATACAGTGATTAACAGCTTTGTCCCCAGAAATTATATTGATTGACATTTTCTCCATCAGTGGAGACCATTTTATGACATCATCACCAATGTTCACTTTTTCTTGCTCTGTTATTCTAGTCAAGTTGACATTTCAATGGTGCTTATAACTTGTACTTTTAGTTATCTATTAGATTTACATATTTTAATGCTTACTAGCCTTTTTATTTATCTTCTTTCATGAATTCATGTTTTACATATTTCACTTAATTTTTTCCTGAGTGTCCCTGTTTTTATTCATGATATATAAAGACAGTCTTTATATGATAAATGTTAACTCATTGCCTGGTGCTTAAATATCCACTATGATTCTCAGTTTGTTATCTGTCTTTTCACTTGTTTATGATGTCTATGATTGTTTATTGTTACATGAGATTTCTAGTTTTTAAACCTCAAATTTATCAATATGTTTCATTATGACCTTCAGTTTAAACAACATTGTTAGAAGGTTATTCTTTTCCACAAAATGATGACAAATATTCAGTCATCTTTTCCTTTCATATTTTCATTACATTTTAAAAACTTTTTATATTTAATTTGTTTTAGTAAAATTAATAAAGGTCTAGTTTTGTTTTTTATTCAACCTACTAACCAGTTGTCCCAATATTGTGTAATAATCTATTTTCTCCCACTGTTTTAAAATGCCACAGTAATTATATATAAAATCTATTTATCTGCCTATGTGTGCATCTCTACTTCCTAATCTATTGATTTCCTTTCTGTTATTATAGTAACAGTATACTTTTTAAGTTACCATAGTTTTACATTAATTTTTAACAACTGGCAGACAATTTATCTCCCATAGTTTTGAATATAAAATTGTTACCACATGTCCTACAATCTTCAAGTGTTTTTCCAGAGTACTGAGAACTGAAGGAAAATTGGAGTTACTAGAGTACCCTATCAATCAATAGTCTATGATCAACTATCTTTAACATATAGTGTGATTACACATAGCAAATGTAAACATGTATACATCCACACACACAGAATAAGTTTGTGCTAGCTCAGCATATTTCATAATTTAATGCTTCTGTAACAGTAATGACTACCATTTTTGAATGCTTTATATATACCTACCACTGTCTTAAGTGCATTGTGCATGCTTTATTATTTAATTCTTAGAACAATGTTGTCAGTATTATTACCCACCCATTTGACAGATGAGGATACTAGGATTTCAAGCAGTTTTTATTTTTAATATGTCACATACAGAACCTACCAAACTCCAATGTCCATGCTCTTTTCACAATACTTTACTACTTCTCTGTTCTCCACAGAAACAGTAGAGGCTGAGACAATTATTTTGAAAAGATAGTTGAGTGAGAAATAATGCCAGAAATAAATAATATATTCGAGGAGAGGAAGACTGAACTCACATAGTCCTGATTAGGCCTCTGGATTCAGAGAAACATCAAATTTCTCAATATTTCATTACAGTCTGCTTATTTAGCTATAGACTTAAAGCAAGGGGAAACATCAACAGCTTTCAGCATGAAATATGAAGCCAAATAAACTCTCTGTCTCTTATCTCCTTAGAATTAACTTCTCCAAAAGGGGAAAAAATAATCAATGGCTTAGAAACATCACATTTATGTGTTCCAAGCAACAACAAGGAAGGAGCATCAGTACAATCCTAATAAGTAAGCGGGGAAAAATAATCAATGGTTTAGAAACATCACATTATGCTTTCCAAGCAAGACAGTCTTAATAATTAGCCACTGCTCCCCACCCACTGCATCATTCTGACTCCATAATTAGAAAGCTATGCTTGAATCTGCTTTATGTTAAGTCCTTGCACTTTAAGTCTGTATATGCACTAATGGTTATCAAATGGGCAGTTGTTTATTTTGCAAGGTAAGGCCAAGCCCACAGACTGGGTTGTTTTAAGTACTTTAAATAAACATTCTCTATAAACCCTAAAATGGTGCATTTACTATGACTTCTATAAAGAGCTCATTTACATTTATGTGGGGAAAAAATAAATAGAACAAAGAATCATTTAAACCTGGTCTTCACTCAAGTTCAATCTCTAAGTTCAAGTTGTTGATACTCCCTTTTAGACCAGGTACTTTGTGGTTGGAGTGCAAATTGAGGTGGGCCTACTAAGCCTGCAGTCAGATTACACAGGATTTCCAAGATGGTCTGGGAATCCCCTTTGGATGGTAAGCAACCCCAAGGTGGGGCCCGTTTATATTCCCCATTGTGCATGCTACACAGCCTGATGCAAGCATTGCTGGTGCCTAAGAAAGGCGATCATCTGTAGAATGTAATTTCATCCTTAAATGTCCTTGATGTAGAGAATAAGCACACATTGCCTGTACTTCTTTAAGTGGGCTTCAGTGCTTCACACCCACTTTTTTCAGTGAATGACATTAATATTGTTAAGAAGTACATGAAATCAGCCAGATTTAAGGGCACTGAAATGCCTCCAGAGAGAGAACACGTTTGTGTGAAAAACAGTTTTTTTTCTTTTAAATTGGAGGCTCCTTTGCCTGTATATATAAGGTAAGAAAGAAGCATAGAGTAAACTTTCTAAGCACTGCCTATAATGGTAACAGTGCTTACTTTCATTCTTCCTCCATTGAATAGCATTCACACTTTTTAAATAAGTTGTGAGAGTTACTCTTTCTTCAAAACCACTTTGTATAACACTTTATTACCTATTTAGAAGAGTCATTCTTCCAAAAAAGCTCAGGAAAAGTTAATAAAATACCATGATAAGATATTTTTAAAAATACCTTATATCGTAATAAATAAGAGCCTAACAAAGGTAATGTAGTTGGGTAGGAGTTGTATGAGTGTACAAATATTTGGGAATAGAAAGACGTATCACCTTCTTAAGACTCTTTTGGGTTGAGGTTAAACAACATAAACAGCTATTTAAAAAGTGAAAAATTAAGTGAAGAGGTTATTTTGCCTGCACAATATCATATAATTAGCTATGCTTATTTAACTCCTTTGAATAATTTATTCCAATGATAAATAGGTACTGACAAAGAGTAGAATGGCAAATGGAAAGAACACTTAGCAAATAATTGTTCAAATATTTGCCTTTGGCAAGAGAAAAACCTTTTAATTTTGAAATAGTTTTATATTTACAGAAAAGTTATAAAATAGTGCAGAGAGTTTACATATACCTTGATCCCCCAGCTTCTTCTAATTTTAACATTTTGCATGAATCACAGTACAACTAAGAAATTAATTAAGAAATGAACATTGGTGAAATACTAATAAATAAGTAACAGGTTTTGTTAAAATTTTGCTAATTATTTCACTAATGTTGTTTTCCTGGCCTGGGATCCAATCCAGGATCCCACATTGCATTTCATCTCTGTCTTCTTAGTCTTTTCCATCTGTGACAATTGCTTGGTTTTTCCTTGTCTTTCATGGCCTTGGGACTTTTCAAGAGCACTTATCAGATATTTTGTAGAATTATCCTCAATTAATTTTTGTCTGATGTGTTCTTATGATTAGGTGAGCTCATGCATGAGGCTGAGATGTCTCATTACTGATGATGTTAGTCCTAATTACTTGATCATTTCACTCTAACGTTATTATTTTTCCCTTTGTAATGAGTAAATATCTTCAGGGGGTGGGTACTTTGGGATTGTGTCAATATCCTGTTTCTCAAAACTTTGCCCACTGATTTGTCTCTCATGGTGGATCTTGCGTACCACCAGTGTGACCATTCTGTCTACCATCTCTTTTTCTAGTTGGGTTGCATGGGTGGACTAGCCTTCATACCTTGGTAAATCAGATCTGATAACTGAAACACAATTCTTCTTCCATGATAGGTAAAGTCGAATATAATATGATAAATCATATTCGTACTATGATAGGCAAAGTAGAATATTAGAAATTACTCAAAACTGAGTATTATATTCCTACAATAGGCACTGCAAGGACAAAAAGGCTGCAGTCTAACAAGTAACAGTTCACCTACCACATAGGCAACAGATTAAACAGCTGACAAATATCTTTCAAATTAGAGTATTTGGTCCTAAATCTCCACTCTGGAAACTGGGAGGAGCTAGAGTTTTTAACCTTGTGAAATGTGAGCTTTTGATTTTTCTTTTTAGCTAATATTGTATCCTGAGGTACCTAGATTCTAACAATAAATATATTAAAAGCAGATCTATTCAGAGCACTGCAGGTAATACAGAAAAAAATGAAACCAGGACATTGAATGTACTGAATTACATGAAGAGATTTGCATTATCCCACACATAACCACTAGCCATTTACAGGCATTGAAATGTGGCTAATCAAATTGGGATATGCTGTAAATATGCAATACAAACTAGATTTCAAAAAGTTAACATGCAAAAAGAAATGCAAATGTGTTATTAATAATTTTATATTGATTACATGCTGAAATATTTTGTGTATATTTTATTAAATAAAATTCATTATTAAAATTAATATTTTTATCTATGTGTCTGCTTGAAAACTTAAAATTACATACATAGCTCATATTTTATTTCTATTAGACAATGCTTAATTTGAACTTTACATGACACTCCCTAAATGAAAGTAATTTTTGAAAACCTAGTACTTCTCTGAAATACTGGGTTATAGAGTTCAAAGAACATGGGCACTGTAGCAAGAAGGCTCAAGATCAAAACCAGGCTTTTTCACCTAGTAGCTGTGGGGTCTATTTCAAGTTTCTATTTCTCATCAACAAAATGAGGATAAAAATATGTACATCATATAGGTTTTGTGAGGATTAAAGAAGGACAATTTATATAGAACTGCATTTGGCACATGCCATGCAATCAGTAGATAGCTAGAATTTGTGCTACATAATAATTAAAAATAAATTCTAGGACTCTAATTGATATCCAAGGCACATATAATGCATACTCTTTGTTTCTTTGTTGTTTATTTATTGTTTATTTCTTTTTCAAGAGTTTTTATCTTGGTGAAATATGAGCTTTTGATTTTATTATTTATTAATTTATTTATTAATTTATTTATTAATATTAACTTATATTACTTTTTTTTAGACAAGGTCTCTCTCTGTCACCCAGGCCAGACTGTAGTGGCACAATCATAGCTCACTGAACCCTCAAACTCCTGGGCTCAAGTCATCCTTCCATCTTAGCCTCCTGAGTAGCTGGGACTATGGACACACACCATCATGTCTGGTTGATTTTTGAATTTTTTGTAGGAATGGGGTTTTGCTATGTTGCCCAGGCTGGGCTCGAACTCCCAGCCTCAAGGGATCTTCCCACCTCAGCCCCCAAAGTGCTGGAATTACAGGCATGAGCCACCATGGCTGGCTATTGTTTATTCCTCTAAAAAAATTACAGGTAATAGCCCAAAAAGAATTTAATCAAAAAGTAACATTAATTCGTATTAGAAGTTAATTGTCCAATTTTAAATATCCCTACCTTTCTTTTTCTACCACATTCAGCTTATTTAACAAATTTTTTTGAGCAATTACTAAATGCCAAGTAGATGAGGCTCGTAATAATACAAAACTTAAAAATTCTCTGGTTTCTTGGAGCTTATACTTCAATTAGCTTATACTTCAATTAAACTAATAAATAATGCAATAAATGTCAGGAAATTATATGTGTGAGAAAGGACAAGATTTTCTATTATCTGTTAATATTTCTATCTATCCGTACACTAAATAAAAAACTAAGGAGAAATTAAAGAAACTAACAAAATTTGTTACTTACAGGGAGAGGGATCTAGCAAGATGGATCCCTGTTATTTCATCCACGGAAGAAGTAACAAAGTGACATGGTGAGGCAGAAAGCAGTTTGCTTTGAATGATGAATTGTAAGGTGGTCAGTGTTCCTGGAACAGAAATGCCAAGAGTGACAAGCAACAGAGATGAGGTTGGAGAGGCAACCGCAGACCATGTGAGAGGACACATAAAACAGGATAAAGACTTCTTGCCTATTTATAATGTGATTGATCACTCATCCAGTGCTTAGTACTAGTAGAATTCAGAGGATTGTAGACCCATGATTCCAGTCCATTTAGACATGATTTTCGTAGTGACATGAAGAAGAGTGAACCCCAGAGAACTCCAGTGTTTAGAGAGGTGAAGAAAGCCAGCATTGGGAAATGAGAAGGAGGGGTCATTGGGTTAGGAAGAAAACCAGGAGAAACATGGTGACTACAGTTAACAGTACTGTATTGTAAACTGTCAATTAGCTAAGAGAGTCTATCTTAAATGTTCTTACCACAAAGCAAACAAATTATAACTAAGTGAGGTGATGAATGTGTTAACTACCTTGATTGTGGTAATAATTTCACAAGATACGCATATATCCAATCATCATATTGTACACCTTATATTAAATTTACAAAACTTTATTTATCAGTTAAACCCCAATAAAGCTGGGGAGGGGGAAGAAAACCAAAAGGTTTTGGTGTCCTGATAGTGTTTAAAGAAGGGTAAAATGAACACCTGGGGTAACTCTACTGGGAATTCAAGTAAGTTGAGACTGAAATTGATCATTGGATTTAGCAACACCTATCTGGCTTGTTGGGTGACTTTGACAAATGAAATTTCAGAGCTGTGAGGGCACCTGTGATATTCCTGACACTGTGCTAAGATATGTGGCAAAGGTCTTCAAGGAGATGACAATCTATAGGGAAAGATGTAATCTGGCATAATGAAGGATATGGCATCGTATAAAACTACTTGTAAGTAGTGAAACGGTCTGGTATTAGCAAACAATTTTGGATTAGACTCTTTGAAGAAGATTTTGAGAGTAGAAAATATATCAAGAGTTAATGTGATTTCAGTAATATTCTTTTATTAAAATTAAAATCAAAACTTTAGTTTTCCTTAAGCCTTCAATTTACAAATATGTTTTATTCATAAGAAATCAATTACTCTCACTAGTCTAATGAGTTAATAAGTTTATTCGATTAAATACGCTGCAAACATTTAGTAATAGTGACCTAAATAAGATTTCTATGAGCATTTCATACTACAGTCACAAATATAATATATCTGATTTTCTCAAATATTAAAATTACCCAATAAGTCAGGCTTACAATCAAAGAAGGAAAAAATCTGCCCAAGCACTTAAGCAAGTCTTGTACATGTATTTAATCTAATTTAGGAATGTAATTGGTAAGATCTTCATCTGCTTTTTAAACCTCTTAAAACATACACAAAGTAGCAAAATGGTATAAACTTTATTAACTTTGTATAAACAAAGGTTATACTAAAGCATAAATACCATGCCACGTATAGCTGGCCTGTATCAATACAGAATTAGCTGTTAAAATCATTGGAAACTTTTATATCTTTTTTTCTAGCATATCTCATATTATCTTTTTCTTTTGAGTATCATTATGAACTGTGACTTTTCACAAAATGTGATTTTCTTTCAAAATCAGAAATCTTCACAACTTGTCCAGGGAGAACCTCTTTTTTAGCTAGCTCCTTTGTTCTTTTAGACCTGTATGACAATATTTTTGCACGGTGGCAACAAGTTGTTCCTGCTTATCTTGGTTTTCTCTGTTCTACTACATTGAATCAACTATTCTCCTGTTTACATTTAGAAGTTAATTGAATTAGAGACCAAAATCTGGGTGGTAGGGATACAATTTACGCTGTTTTCTATGAGTATTGGTTTGTGGGTGACAAGGATTATAGATCATTTTTGTAAAGATGCCAGAAAAATAAGTCTGTTATAAAGGCCATGTGTTTACTTTGATGCTTCCCACTGAACTCCACGTTTATGAAGTACAGTACTGAATGAATGTATGGTGCAGTAATGAATATACAAAGTACAGTACAGTAATGAATGTGGACAACGTTGACTCTACGTTTATGAAATATGGTACAAAGTAAATGTGGAATTACATTGTACACCCTCATCAAGTATTGATATAAGATATTTTCAATCTGCTTTCTGTTTTTTATTTGATTTCTCTTCTCTGTCATATATGACATTTTTATATATTCTTAATAGGCTATGTTATATAAGACCAAACCAAATTATGGGCATAAATTATAAGTGTGTAGCTTTTCTATACTTTAAATGAACCCCCACAAGTAGTCTTTACTTTTGTCTTCTTTCCTTTTTATCAGTTATTATCATTAAATATCTTGTTGAAACTCTTTCTGTAATCACTTATGGACATCAGCTGCAAGAGTTGAAGAACAATGGGACTACTTATCTCTAAAAAGCTTTAAATTCAGGGCGGGCATGGTGGCTCAAGCCTGTAATTCCAGCAGTTTGGGAGGCCGAGGCGGGTGGATCACGAGGTCAGAAGTTCAAGACCAGCTTGGCCAACATGGTGAAACCCCGTCTCTACTGAAAACACAAAAGATTACCCGGGCATGCACCTGAAATCCCAGTTACTTGGGAGGCTGAGGCAGGAGAATCACTTGAACCAGGGAGGCGGAGGTTGCAGTGAGCCAAGATTGCGCCACTGTACTCCTGCCTGGGCGACAGGGCAAGACTCCGTCTCAAAAAAAAAAAAAAGAAAACTAAAACATGAAAACACCCATGCAGTCTCAAGCAATATATGTGTATAATATTAAAATAATAGAAATGGCAAAGAATTTGTTTATAAGATATTGGAAGCAATGTATCAAATTATTAAAGCAATTAATACATTGCCAAAGATGGTCCAGCAGTTTGTATCACCTCAAAAATGAGCTAAAAGGAAACAAATAAAAGTAACTTTGTATTGGCATAGGACTGCAGGAAAAGTGATTTATAGCTTATGCAAAGCCCCTCATTTCTGTACCTTTCTGTAATTTTGACTACACAAAATATGTGAATATCGATCCAGTTTTGTGGGTGCTCAGTTATCTTGCCCCAGTGAGTGGGACTAGTTCATTGGCCTACACAGCTTGGGGAAGAGGCAGGGCAAGAAAAGGTTTAGAGAAGGTCAAGATCAATAAATAGCATCTTTGCAAAATATATTTTTTTAAATCGCTCACAACTAATATAATCGAGGGCTGCAAAATTTCAATAAAATAATGCAAACCCAAATCATGCATTAGACATATTTTAGTATATCTGTTGATAATTTGAGTGAACCTGATGAACTCTCCATCTGGACTTTTTAATGAAAAATTAATTGTGTAGAAAGTGGAATAATAAGTCTGAGTTTACTTTGTGTAGTTGACAGCCAACAGCTTTTAAGCCTCACCCTTCTCTCTTACCTTTCTGCCCCACATCTGAGCGAGCTGGAAAAGCCCAGATACTCCCTCTTTTGGAGCCAAGAGGAGATACAAACCACACAAGGCCCTGCCTGCTTGTGGAAACCTCGTTTCAATTCCATTCCCTAAATACCATTAAAAACTCCACCTGCGTCTTCTTCTCTTGGTTTTTCAGGCTATTTTTGGACCTACTTGGGAAGCCCACCCTGTAATGATCATAGAGCCCCATAAGTAATAAACATTTTATTTCCCTCTTGGTATATGTTTGCTGTGTCATTAATCCCGGTGTCTGAGCCAAATTTTGGTTCAGATTTGGTAGGGGTCTATTCTATTTTTGTAGGATGATTGCAATAGAAAGTCATGTACACTTATTACAGAGATTTTTATTGCTATTGAAGTTGGGCTGTGACAAAATAAAATAATTGTAAACTACACAAGAAAATTGCCCTGTGAAAACCATAGTATGTGTTGGGAACCTGCACTAAGCAGACATAACCCCTTTATTCAGAATAGGTTAATAATTTTGGGTAGATAACAAAGATCTTTGGCCAACTTGAAGATAATTATTTACTTCAAAGTTACTTATAAGTCATTAACATTGTGTATTTACTTACAGAATTATTTTTTTCTATAAAAATTGCAAGCTACATCACAAGGTATATATTTATGTATCTGACAATTATGAAACACTTGCACCTGATTTGCCCTTTCCTAATATACACCTTGCTGAAAAATCTTGAGTGAAAGTGCTTGGGAGACTCACAGCTGCTGCAAAGTATTAATGCATTAATCTTCATCCAGGTCTTGTGTTTATACCTGGAATACAATTCTCTCCTTGCTTAAACCACTGTCTAGTGTTCTATCAAATTACATGAAAATACCAGGTCTAAAGGAATCACAGATTGTTAGATGTAGAAGTCTAATCTCTTCTTTTTTAGAGATGAAGACAGTAAATTCTAAATATACATTGCCCGTCTCATTACACACAGTTTATTAGTGGTATAGCTAACTCGGGATTGGTATCCAGACTTCTCCAGGGTTAATTGCCTCCTTTACAACCACCCTTCTACTTCTTCATTCCCAACATTTTAGACACCAACTCTTTATGCCACCAAGTCTGTGGACAAGAAGAAGTGAGCTATCTTATGTTGTTCTCACATATTTCAACACAATATTCACAGACACTGAAATCTCAGGAAGTACATCTCTTAAGAGCTGGGATTATGTCAATTTTCTTTGACTGAAAATGTAAGAAGTCATTTTCCACATGTATATCTGTGGTTATAAAAGCTGGTTGTGACCATAAAACAGAGTAAAGTCTAAAAAAGTACAAAGCTAACTTCCTCATCTAGGATTAAGTCAAGTTCAGGTGAATCTCTTCATGTCAGATCATTTAAATCAGAGCTTTCTAAGAGACGGACACGTGTGCAAAACTCCACTGAAGTCTTATACATACAATTTTTTGATCTGTTACTTTCATTTTGATGGTAGCACATTATTCATGCTTTTTCTCTTAAATATCAAAATATCCACATCTACACTGAAAAATGAAAGTGTTTTTGATTAATTACCACTGATATTAATGTCTGTAAACAGCTAATCTTATTTACTTAGGTAAATAAACAGTGACAATAGGTAAGAATAATAGAAATAATAGGTAACATAAAGTGCTTAGCATGTTGTTAAGCCGTTCTCATCTGTTATTCCATTTACTCCTCCTAATAATTCTACTGTCTGTAATGAAGAATCCATTATTTACCCAGTGTTATGATGAAATGACTGACTCTCTGAGAAATTACGCACCGCTTATTGTAGAGCCTGGCTGCAGAACCAGGGAGGCTGACTTCTAGACATCAGGTTCTAATATGTATAGATTTTTTTCTCCCCTGGATTAATACCCTGCCAGTCTTGTTTTAACTCCAAGATCTTGCATAGCACCTAGCATATAACAGAGGCTTAGTAAATATCTGTTACGTGAAAAGGTAAATGGACAACCGTGGTTAGTTCCCTTCCTGAGCTAAACAAATGAATGAAAAACATCTCACGTTGTAGGCAGATGTAACTCAGCTGAGTGCAAGAGCACTGTTCTCATCCATGTGTCTGAGAAAGGCAGCCAAGTGTCTTTGATGTCGGAGTTTCTACAACTCTCCAGTGTAATCTATTTCACCTTGAAACTAGTAAGATCTACGCAAGGAAGCATTTTGGGCATAACTTGGCTGTAAAGAAGCTCGTATAGCTCCAAGGCACCGCATTAAAAACAACCTCCATTTGATTGCTTTAGTAAGAATTCCCTCAATTTAACTACCTCCTGCCACATCTACACCACAGGATATTAAAAAGGCACTATCCATGGTTGTGCCCCACTATTGATGCTGTTTAAACATAAGAAGGCAATTAACTTATTGTGCTCCTGTGAAAGGATCAGGCTTCTGGGAGTTTAAACAAATTAATAAATTTGTTGAATAGGAAAAAGAATTCACCAGCTTCCTCTGTATATTTTTATTCAGCACAATACACACACGTAGAGCTGTGCTGTTATTTGTGTCTAGCAGCTCATGGGAAGAAGGATGGTTGGCAGCTGTTCTGTATCACCCATGGGGACAAGAGGGACTATGCTTTTGCTGCAGCATGAGGTCATCAGGTTCATTACAGTGAAAATTTAGTTTTCAATGAGGCTTTTTAGATTTCGGAATGGATTGGTGAAGGACATAGTAGATATTGCCAGATAAGGAAAATGCCCCCTTTTTACCGAAGTATCAGGCAAAAAGAGGTATTCCTTTTCCAGTATAATAAACTTCAGCTTTTTTCACTCTTTATACATCAGTAATTCTCAAGTGATGCATAAAGACAAAATGGAATTATGTAGGGAGCTTTTAAAAATCCCAAGACCTTGGCCATATCAAAACCAATTACGGCAGAAATTGTAGGGGTGGGACCCGGTCACCAGTATTTTTTAAAGCTCTCCTGATGATTCTAAACTAAACTGTAAACTGAAGGAAACTGCTTATGGGGAAGCTACCCCAAACCAACTTTGGTGACTGAAGGCAGTAATAAAGAAATTTTCCACTGAGCCTTAAGCGTTAGCTTGGGGACTCTGCTCCTTCCTGACTTAGGGGCTGCATGAGCTTCCAAGCTTGCAGAAGAAAATAATGGCAACCACTTCTTTAAAAAGAGCTGATCATGATCAGCATAAAAACATATTGATGGAAAACTTTTTGTGGTCTGTGATCCTAGTAGGTAATCTGGGCTCAGACTAATGGATTTATTGGGTCAACACTGTCCCTAAAACCCAATAACTTGGGGTTCAGAAATCACAATGTTGAGCTCCACTATGCTAACCAATCTTGAACCCAAGCATTAAATAACTAGTCATCCTTTTCTTTGGATTTGTGTGACTTTATTCTTTCTCAATCCCACACTTGCCTTGGGGCTAGGAGGTGCTGTCCACAGGTGCTGTTCTTCCTCTTGTAAAATTATACATGAATAAAATTTCAATACTTTAGACTAATTGTCTCTGTGTTATTTTTAACGTTCTCATTCCCCACCCCTCTTTTTAAACTTTTTATTTTGAGAGAATTGTAGTTTTTCATTGTGGCAAATGTCCATAACATGAAATTTACCATTTTAACCATTTTAAGTGTACAATTCCGTGCCATAAGTACATTCACATAGTTGTGCAATCGTAATTGCTCTTCCTTTCTAGAATTTTTACAATTCCAAGCTAAAGCTCTATATCCCTTATGTAATAACTGTCCATTATTTCTTTTTCCCAGTCCCTGGTAACCTCTGTTATATTTTTCATTTCTATTAATTTGACTATTCTAGGTACTAAATATAAGAAGAATGAAATGATATTTGCATTTTTGTGTGTCTGGCTTATTTTACTTAGCATGTTTTCAAGGTTCATCTGTGTTGCATGCATCAGAATTTCATTCTTTTTTAAGGCTGAATAATACTCCATCATATACATATGTGTCTGTGTTTGTGTGTGTGTGTGTATGTGTAAGATAATTGTAGATTTACATGCAGTTTTAAGGAATAATACAGAGAGTTCCTGTATAATATTCATCTAATTTCCTGCAAAGACAACATCTTGCATTATTCTGGTATAATATTATAACCATGCATATATTATTGATACAACTTACTGACTTTATTTTGATTTTACCAGTTTAGATGGGCTCATTTCTGTGTGTGTGCATATGTGTGTATGTGCACACATATGTATATGTATTTCAGTGCAGTTTTGTCATGCGTAAATCTGTGTATCAGCACTGCAGTTCCAACATAAGGATTCCACATGCTACAATTTTATAACCTCAGCCACTTTCCTACCATCCCTTCTCAATAACCCCTGACAACAATTAACATCTTCTCCATCTCTAAAATTTGGTTATTTCAAGATTGCTATATCAGCGGAATTACACAATATGTAACAATTTGAAATTAGCTTTTATCACTCAACCTAATTCACTAGTGATCCATCTAAATTGTTGCATGTATTGTTTGTTCCTTTGTAATTTTCAAGTAGTAATCCATGGCATGAATATATCACAATTGGTTTAACTGTTCATCTGTTTCAGGGCATCGAGATTGTTTTCAATTTGAGGCTATTAAGAATAAAGCTACTATGAACATTTGTGCATAGGTATTTATATAAATGTAAGTTTTCATTTATCTGGGATAAAAGCCTAAGAGTACAGTTGCTGGGTTTTACAGTAAATGCATGTTTAATTTTGCTAGAATATGCCATACTCTTTTCAAGACTAGCTGTATCATTTTGCATTTCGACCAGCAATATATATGTGATCCAGTTTCTCAACATTCTTGCCAACATTTAGTTCTATGATTGCTTTTTAAATTTTATTTATTATAATAGGTATACAGTGATATTGCATTGTGGTATTAATTTACATTTCCCTAATGACTAAAGTGCCTAATGATGTTGGACACTTTTTGTGCACTCATTTGCCATTCATGTATTCTCTTTGATGAATGTTTATTTTTGATGTCTTTTGCCCATTTGCTTATTAGATTTTTTGTTTTTGTGTTTATTTTTAATCTTTGAGCATTGAGTTCTATTTCTATTCTAGATACATTTTTTTTTATTGTATATGTGGTTTGCAAACATTTTCTCCCAGTCTGAAGTTTGTATTTTTATTGTCTTAATGGAGATTTTTAAAAAGGGAAGTTTTAAATTTGATGAAGTTCAGTTAGTATTTCTTTTTATGGGTTGTATTTTTTGATACAGGTCTAAGAACTCTTTGCTCAGTCTTAGGTCCTAAAAACTTTCTGTTTTTAAAGACCCAGGTGATGAGTACACAAAAGCCCAGACTTCACCATTACACAATACATGCATGTAAGAAATCACACACTTTTACTCCCTAAATCTATAAAAATAAAATAAAATAATTTTTAAAAATTAAAAAAAAATTCTGGTTTTTTTTTTCCTCATAGTTTCACCCATTACAATTAAATCTATGGTCCATTTTGAGTTGATTCTGTATAATTGATAAGATTTAGGTTGAGGCTTCTTCTTCTTGTTTTTTTTCCCCTTGGCCTGTGGTTTCCAATTCTTCCAGCATCATTTATTGAAGATCCATCCTTGGGATTTCTGGCTTCTTCTTTGACCTGTAAAGGGCTTGGAAGTTGTCCCTTCATGCTAGCAGCAAGAAAAAAAGCTGAACAAATGGAAAGACAACCACTTTTCTAGGTCTATCAGAAAATGGCTGCAAAACCTGAAGAGAGAGAGGTGGCTACAGAGAACCACAGCTTTCTAGAAACTGAATTTCAAGAGCAGAAATATGCTGCTGGAGCCAGCACCAACAGGAACACTTAAACTTTAATTGTTGAATTACTAGAGGCTCCGTGTGGTCTAAGTTGAGAGCTCACAATTCCTGGGGAATGCCCAGTCTTAAGGGGGCTTCCCACACTTTTTTGAGTTTTACCTGAAAGAGACCCAGCAAGTCCTTACCATGAGGATCTGAGAAAATCTCCTCTTAATTCCATCAGGGGAAGGGGAAAAATAATAATTTGAAATGTGCTCGGGGGAAAGTAATGATTTTGACATAGAGCCACAGTATTTTGTCCTTTCTTTGTTCTCTGTAATGAAGACCAATCCTCAGGGGGCACTACTTTACTAAAGTCTTATCTCATCTGGGGAAGGGCAATTTCCTCTAGCTTTCCTGTCTCACATAAGGGGGGAAAAAGGCTAAGATGAAAGTCACAGCCCAGTCCATGACAAAAAGTGGAGGTTTAATCATAAGATTATAGACCCCTGGCTCTCCCAATATCTTACCAACAAATTGGGGCTCCAGGATAATAAGAGTGGACTGAAATTGCAAGAGTTGCAAGACACAGACTCTATTTAAGAGGTAGTTTCTAGGGAAATCCAAAGATAGCAGGAGAGACAAAAACAAGGACTGTAGAAGAAATGTGAGTTTCTGAAACTTCAGCTATAGCAAATATTAAACACAGTTTAACGCCTAGCCAGTAAAACATAAAAACCACACCAAAATCCTGTTTACCTCAGTTCCTTTTCCCAAAGTATCATGTCTGAATTTTAATGAGAAAATTACAAGTCATGCTAAGTAACAAGAAAGACATCACAATCTCATGAGACAAAGCAAGCATCAAAACCACACTCAGATATCAGACAAGATCTAAACATAACTGACGGCTATGCTAAGGGATATGAAGGAAAAAGTGGACAACATGCAATAACAACTAGGTAATGTAGGTTGAAACTCTAAGGAAGAATCAAAAATAAATGCTACAAATTAAAACATGTTAACGGAAATAAAGAATATTTTTGATGGTCTCACTTGTAGACTAGACACAGCCAAGAAAAGAACCAGTGAGCTTGAAGCTATGTGAATAGAAACCACACAAACGAAAATACAAAAAGAAAAAGAATGAAATAAAACAGAACAGGCTATCAAAGAATTGTGGAACAATCAAATAATTATGATGGATAGGGGAATATCAAAAGAGAAAAAAATAAAAAGAAGAAATATTTAAAATAATATTGGATAAGAATTTTCAAAAATTAATTACACACCACCAATTTTCCAAAATTAATTATACACCAGGAAGTGCAGAGAAAATCGAATATGGTAAACACCAAAATATCTACACCAGGGCATATCATATTTAAATTGCAGAAAACCAAAGACAAGTAGAAAATATTCAAAGAATTAACCACGGGAAAAAATCTTACCTATATAAAAGGAATAACAAGAATTACATTGGACTTATCTTCACAATCAGTGCAAAGAAGAAGAGAGTGGAATAAAATGTATTGAAAGGAAAAAGTGAAATAAAAGTATTGAATTGAAAAAAGAAAATAAAACACTAATATAGAATTCAGTCCTCAAAGAAATCATTCTTCAAAAGTTAAGGTGAAATAAAGATTTTTCTCAAACAAAAAAGAACTATGAGAATTCATTGCCAATAGACCTGCCTTGCAAGAAATGTTAAGAGATATTCACTGGAGAAAAGAAAAAAGATAAAATTCAACTCAGATAGATACCCATAAAGAAAACTATTAAAGAAGGAAAAATGGAAGATAAAATCTTTTAGTTTTTTATTCTTAATTTAATGGATAACTTTGTTAAGTATAGTAATAGCAACAAAGTATTTGAAAATTTGTAGCAGAAATGCTATAAAAATAGTAGGAATAATTGAGAATTCCTTGTTATAAGATGCCTGCATTAACCATGAATTGGTGTTGAAAGATAAAATGAGTCACAATAAAAAGTTAAAGCATTTATTTAAGCAAATAGAAATTCATGAATTTGGCAGCACAAGCCGAAAATGGTTTGGGGCTGTATCAAAGTAGCATGAGGGAAGGCTTTTATAGAGTGAAAATGGAAGCAAAACAAAGAAAATGTTTGGTTAGGTACAGTTATACAGGTGCCTTATCTGTTTGATCCCATTGAAAAGTCTCTAGTTATATAAGTTGGCTGGCATCTTCCAATTGGTTAAACTTACATTGACATTGTGATGTGATGTGATGTTGTGATGTGATGTGATGTTGTGATGTGATGTTGTGATGTGATGTGATGTTGTGATGTGATGTGACGTGACGTGACGTGATGCGACGCGACGTGACATGATGTGATGTGATGTTATTTTGAGACAGAGACTCACTTTGTTACTCTGGCTGGAGTGCAGTGGCACCATCATGGCTGATGGCAGCCTTGTCCTCCTGGAGCTCAGGTGATCCTCCCACCTCAGCCTCCCCAGTATCTGGAACTATAGGGATATGTCACCACTCCTGGCTAATTTTTTTACTATTTTGTAGAGACATGGTTTTGCCATGTAGCCAAGGCTGGTCTTGAACTTCTGGGCTTGAGTGATCTGCTCACTTTGGCCTACCAAAGTGCTATGGTTACAGGTGTGAGCCACTGGACTCAGCGAATTTTATTTTAAGAGTGATATTGTGTTATTTTCAAATAGATATATTAATTTTAAGTGTATATTGATAACTCTAGAATAACCACTAATTTTTAAAAATATATAATTGATTTGCTAAGTGAAGTGAAAGAATGGACTCATAAGTAATGCTCAAGTAAAACCAGAGAAGGCAGAAAGGAAAATTTTAAAAATAATAAATAGCAAGAGCAATGAAGAGAAAAGTTACAAATATGATATTAATAAAACTAGATCATTAATCACTGGAAATAAAAATGGTCTAAATACACTAAATAAAAAAGACAGAAAAAAGGAATAGAAATAGAAGTCCCAAATTTTCATTGTCTAAAACATTAAACATAAAGACACAGATAGATAAAAAGTAAATGAATGGAGAAAGATCAACCATATTAACACTAATCAAAGGGAAGACAGAGTAGCTATGTTAATTTCAGACAAAACGGACTTTGCAGAAAGGGGAAATTATCCTCGGGGATAATGAGAGGTATTCCATAATAATAAAAGGATCAATTCCCCAACAAGATAAAACAATTTTTATTGTGTATGTGTCTAAGAGCAGAATGTAAATATATGGAAGAAGAACACTAATAGAAATTCAAGGAGATGTAGACAAATTCACTATGATAGTCAGAGAGTTCAACATACCTGTTTCTATGATTGTGCAGGTAGAAATTCAGTAAGAATACAGTTGAACTGAAATGCAGCAGCAATTAATTCTGTCATTTACAGAATATTTTATCTAATCAGAGCAGAATACACATTCTTCTTAAGCTCGCATGGAACATTTGCCAAAATAGACCTCATTCTGGACCATACTTTAGCAAAATATATAAAACTGAGATTCATAGTTTGAATGCTCCCAGAATACAATAAAGTTACAGTAGAAATTAATGGCAGAAAGACAGCTGAAAATCCCAAAATATTTGGAGATCAAACAACATAATTTTAAATAAAATATGGATCAAAGAAAAAGTCTCCAGAGAAATTTTAAAATAACTTGAACTAAATGAAAATGAAATTTACCAAAATTTGTGGGATGCAGCAAAAGCAGTTCTGAGGGAGAACCTTACAACATAGAATACATACATTAGAAAAAAACAAATATTTAAAATCAATCACCTCAACTTTCATTTTCAGAAATTAGAAACAGAAGAGCAATATAAACCTAAAACAAGCAGAAGAAAGACATAATAAAAGGGCAGAAATTAATGAAATAAAAAAGTGGAAAACAATAGAGAAAAAAAGTCTATTTTTTAAAAGCATCAATGCAATTGATAAAACTTTAGCCAGGTTAAACAAGAAAAAAGAGAGGCGACACAAGTTATGAATATCAGAAATAAAAGAATTTCATCATTACTAACTACATGCATATTACATTACTACCTACATGCATATTATAAATGAATATTCTGAACACTTTATATCCACAAATTTGATAATTTAAATGAATGAATTAACCCCTTGAAAGACATCATCTACCAAAACTCACACAAGAAATAGATACTTGAAGCCCATATGTATTTAAAACATTGAATCAATAATTAATAACCTTCCAAACGACAAGGCCGAAATGGTTCACTGATGAATTCTACCAAACAGTAAAGGAATAAATTATACAAATTCTCTACAATCTCTTCCAAAAACTAGAAGCAGAGGGAATACTTACTGGCTTACTCTGTGAGGCCAGCATTACCTAAATATCAAAACTACAAAAAGGCAGTACAAAAAAATAAAACTACAGACCAATATAACTTATGAACATACGTGCAGAAACTCTCAACAAAATATTGTCAAATTTAATTTAGCAATGAAAGAAAAGAATTTTACACTATGACCAAATTGGATTCATCTCTAGTATACAAGGATCATCCAACATTAGAAAATCAATTAATATAATCCATCACATCAACAGGCTAAATGAGAAAAATTGAATAACAACATCAATAGGTGAAGAAAAGCATTTGGCGAAATGTAACACCCTTTCATAATAAATCTCTCAGCAATAGAAGGTATGGTGGTTAATTTCATGTGTCAACATGGCTGGGCTATGGAACTCAAATATGTAGTTAAATATTATCTTGGATGTTCTATGAGGGTATTTTGGATGAGAGTAACATCTAAATGAGTGGACTTTAAATACAGCATATTGCTGTACTTTATATATACGTATATTATATATGTATTATATTATATGTGTATTATATAACATGTGTATATAATATGTGTATTATATAATATATTATATAATACTAATATTATATAGAATATAATATATTATATAATATATAATTATATATAACATATAATATATATTCTATTCTATGTATATATAATATGTAATATATTATATAATATATGTATATGTAATATATAATATGTGCTATATTATATATATGTATATATAATATATAATATGTGCTATATTATATATAATATATTTATATAATATATAATATGTAATATATTACATATAATATATTTATATATAAAATGTATATTATATATTTTATATATATGCCCTTATTCTACTCTATAGAATATATATATAGGGAGTGTAGAAGCTGTTTCTATAGGGACAGAAGACCCATCAAATTTAGGAGCTCAATGTCCCCAGCTTCATTGATGTCTTCTTACACATCCCATTCCAATCTTTAGGATCCCATTCTGTCCCAATCACTTCCCTCACTTGCACAGTAGACATCCTAAGAAGCAGGCACTGCAATTTGCGTGGTCATTCAGCCACTAGCAGGCTGAAATTTTGGGTTTAGTCTTCAGCAATCTTAATCCTGCAGCTACAGGAGAAAGCGGTTTCTTCAAGGGCAGATATAGAAGTTTTCAATGTGTATATATTTATATAAATATATATATATATACACACACACACTCACCTAATTTACTAAAATTATTTAGTAAATGAGTATTTTATTCTATAGGGTAGAATGAAAACATACATATATATTTTTATATATGTATACAAATTATAAAATTACTATTTATTGTATAAATACATACATATATATATGTTTATTCTACCTATAGAATAAAATAGACACTTATTTACTAAATAATTTTTGAATGAATACATATTCTCCTTCATGTTTAAAAAAATCATGGGCTAAATAATGCCCTCTAAGATTTTTAACCTAATGCTCTGATTTGAGGAATTAAATATATAAATTTAATAGTGTCTTCTTTGATAAGAATAATTCAGAATTATTCTTTCTTTTGAAAGTTTGTTGTTTGATATCTAAATGGACAGTTTCTGCCCAAGTAAGTCTCTGGACACGCCTCCCATCTTCAAAGGAGTGTACTTATATTTTTCCCCCTTCATCAAGGCAAAACAATTTATTTAGCTAAACAGGCACTGGACAAATAATTTCACAATATCTAAGTAGAATATTTAGGCATTCAACTCCTGTCTTTTTATACATCTTTCTTTACCTATCAGCAACTTATATCTAGTGATGATAATTTTGCTTCTAAATCCAGGCTAAATGTTTTCATAGGAGACTAAAACTTGCTTCTTAGCCTCAGGTAATGAGTAGAAAAAACTAAAGTTTGCAAGGATAGAGGAGATTAAATCTAAAAAAATAAAAAGATCCCCTTGGTGCGATCCAATTTGAATCTAGAGAATCTTTGTTCCAGTTCTCAACGGTGAGCCACTTATGTATGAAAACCAAATTGCTTCCCTCATGCTAATTAAATGCTTCTCAGGAATTCATATTGTGTTTGTTTGCTAGACTCTTAGAAATTCCAAATAATTCAACAATCATTTGTCCTCTCATTTTTGCCTTCAAAGGTAACTTAAAAGGGATGACCTCTTGGGAAACATGTTGTCACTATCTGAAAATACTGCATATAAGTACATGGCTAGAATTCATTCAGAAAAAGAGGTGGAAAAAGAC
The DNA here is from genome assembly GCF_000001405.40 of Homo sapiens. Classification (NCBI taxonomy): domain Eukaryota; kingdom Metazoa; phylum Chordata; class Mammalia; order Primates; family Hominidae; genus Homo; species Homo sapiens. The sequence goes on from NC_000020.11 coordinate 7,437,077, forward strand.
ATTTGGGTGCAATTCTAAAAAGATCTTGCAAAATGTCTCCCTGTTTTGAAATTCCCAACGGGATGATTCTCATCCCTGCCCTTCACCTTTTGGATATAGAACTCATAAAAGAAAAGGAAATGTCTTCATTTTCAAATGAGCACACCAGTGTTCTCCGTATTTTTTGTCAAGATTTTGTTTCTGGCAGGGAATTTGAGAAAAACCAAAATTAACCCAGCTGCAGGTGTGCACAGATAATCCCTTCTTCTCTTTGTTGAAGAGGAAGAAAAATGTGGTCCTTTTTACTCAGTTTAATGACCAGGCACTGCTTTATCTCTCCTTGAAGGACTTTAGAAGAAGCTCTTCAGTGGCTGCCATGGAAAGGATTTTGGTTTTGCTGATTTCATGGCTGGGAAGCTTACATTAGGACTGATTGGAGAATCTGTTTTATTGTTTTGCCCTTTCATGTATCTCTGCATTAGTAGTAATATGTGACTAATAAAGTAAATAGAATAGAGCAGAATGAAGTTTAGAGCAATCCCAAACAAAATATCTAACTAATTCATCTTAATTAAAAGTTGGCTTCTTCTTTTTTTTTTTTTCTTTCTTTCTTTTTTTTTTTTGGAGACGGAGTTTCGCTTTTGTTTCCCGGGCTGAATGCAGTGGCACAATCTTGGCTCACTGCAACCTCTGCCACCCGGGTTCAAGAGATTCTCCTGTCTCAGCCTCCTGAGTAGCTGGAATTACAGGCACACACCACCAGGCCCGGCTAATTTTTTGTATTTTTAGTAGAGACGGGGTTTCACCATGTTGGCCAGGCTGGTCTCAAACTCCTGACTTCAGGTGATCTGCCTGCCTCGATCTCCCAAAGTGCTGGGATTATAGGCATGAGCCACCGCGCCCGGCCTAGTTGGCTTCATTTCTATCATATGTAAAAATGTTGACAATGAAAACAAATACATATGCTACTTACATGCCGAGCTGCTGTTGTTTTACGTTAGTTTTCTTTAACCAACTAAATTATAGACTTTTGTTTTTGTTTTTTGGCAAGGTCTCTCTCTGTTTTGCAGGCTGGAGTGCAGTGGCTCAATCTCGGCTCACTACAAACTCCTCCTCCCAGGCTCCAGCAATTGTCTTGTCTCACCCTCCTGAATAGCTGGGACTACAGGCGCATGCCACCGCGCCCATCTCATTTTTGTATTTTTAGTAGAGATGAGGTTTCACCATGTTGGACACGTTGGTCTCAAACTCCTGACCTCTGGGGATCAGCCTGCCTCAGCCTTCCAAGATGATAGGATTACAGGCATTAGCCACCAGGTCCAGCCGAATTTTGTTGGTTTTTACCTTAAATTTCATTTTACTTTATTATTTTTCTTTCTGATAATTGACAGCATAAATTTGAGTTGTCAAGCTGCAACTGTGTGAAGTCTAATAATGTACATTGTGGGTTATATAAACTCCCAACTTTTTTAACTTCCTTCTCTTCTGTTGTTTCTTATTTGTTATCAATCCCTCTGTAAAAAAAACAAAAAAAAACAAAAAAAACAACAAAAAACAAAAACAAAACAGAGAATGAGGGAATATAAAAACAAATTAGTCAAATTCATTACGGTTTTGCCTTGATGAAAGTTTGGAGAAGATAAATAATGAGAAATTTATGCTTTATTATATTTTTGAATTATTTGTGCTATAATTTACTTTTTTACTTTCTTTCCTCATTTCTCTCTTATTCCATACCAGGTCCTTTCTATATGGGTTTTGCATTTTCAGCTTGAAAAAAAAAAAAAGATACCTTCAGTATGGGCTCTTTATTTTTGTGATTTAAATAAAATACTCACAGCCATATATATGAGTATAAAGTTTTTTCCTGTTACAAAAGGTCTGTTAAAATTTTATTAGATTCATTTTTAGCTATGCCATTTTTATTATTACATGGAGTATTAAAAGTTTGCTTAGATTTGCATTTTATTTTATTTTGTACAAATTTATGGGGTACCTGTGCAATTTTGTTACATACATAGATTGTGTAGTGGTCAAATCAGGGCTTTTAGGGTATTCAACACTCAAACAATGTATACGGCACCCCTTCTGTAATTTCTCATAATCCTACTCCCTCCTGCTGGCTCACCCTTCCAAATTTTCATGGTCCATCATTCCACTCTCTACATTGGTACACATGCAATATTTTTTACAATGATGTTTATATCCTGCTCCTATCTGAGGCCACTCAACTCAAATTCCTAGCTTGTTATAATAGTTTTCTCCATTTCCAATTAATTTCCATGCATTACTTGAGTAGATAATTTAATCACCTAGAAACAATAAAAACGTGTCCCTCTCCTTCCATTCAAAGCTCTATATATTATTTCTTGCCATATTACACTGGCTGAAACCTCCAGAGAAATTCTTGTTCATAGTAGAAAGAGAGGGTGTGTGGGGCTTTGGAATTTCTTATTTAGTACTCAAAACTCACATTCTGAATGGATCAATGATGTGATTTTACAACTAAGGCATTACAATTGGCCTCAACCAATTTTCACTTTTCTCTTCTAAATGTCTGCTAGGATTACCATGTGAGGGTCCTAATAAGAAGTTTGTAAGTTTTAGAAGTTTTTGATTTTCTGAAATAGAGGGCTGCTGCCCTCTATCATGTATCATGCTTGAGTGTGTGCGTGTGTGTGTGAGTGTGTGCATGTGTGTGTGTAAAAGAGAGAGAGAGAAAGAATATGACCAAAAAGAGATAAAATATTACCTATCTGGAAGGTGTAATATATGATAAAAGAAATCTCTAAAAAAGAAGATAAAATAAAACATGGAGGTTAAATAATAACTATCAAGAAAATTATTTATAAATACTAACCTTTCTAGAGCTGAATGGCTGAATGACATATGTTTTAAGATTTAAGGTGCCTATAAACTGCTGAACAAAATATATATATTTTGAAATACTTTGTATATAACTTGTGAATTTTCAGAACACCAAGGATGCACAGAAGCTCTTTAAATTTCCAGAAAGAAAGTAGTGACCTCTTATAAAGAAACATAAGTTGTTTTCACAAAATGAAACCATACTTCACTGGCAATTCTGGGTCACAGAAATGTTTTCGGTAATGTTTTTACTGATCTTAGCAAAGAAGAAATTTTTTTTTTTACCTAAATTCTACAACCAGCCAAAGTGTCAGGGACAAAATTAAAGATATTTTCATATAATCAAAGCCTCAGAGTTACTTTCCATTCATGCTTTATTAGATTGTGCATATACTTGACAGCAAGAGAAATATAAGAGAGATAAGAGAAATATAAATTAAATGTAAGGGAAAAAGCTACCCTGAAATGCATTACTTTTTCTTACCATCTAACTCTGAGCTAACCTGATACTTTTAGATTTATTAAAAAAGAATACCCCACATACTTTCCATGTGAATTCATGAACATGGGTGATTTTATTTATTTGACATGATAATTAATTCATAACATTAGGAAAGAAAGTTACTTCATAAAGGAAATCTTGGTTTAAACAAGATCTGGTGGTGGAGCAGAGAAGGAATGTTTAACTTATTATAATAAACTGCTATTCTCAAGCACTTTTAAAACCACATCAGCAGTCGCATCAGTAATCAACAGAATAGGAAATAAACATGTTCTGTTCATCATAAGGGTCTCAGCAGGACCCTTGCATAGGTAGACTGTTGTTGAAAGTGGATCCTCATTACTGCCCTCAAGTTGAAAGTGAACATATGGTGCCTCTTTTAACATTTTCTTTGTTTCCAGATTCAGGCCAACTCTCCTTGCAATTATTTTGAATGGGTGGAATTGTGGTCCATTTGTTTCTGGAGCATTTTATTAATTTTTTTTCATTATGGAAAAGAATGTGACTCCACATATCCTAAGAGTAAAAAATACAAGGAAATAATCTCATCTAAGTTATTTCTGATGTCAAATCACACAATCCAGAAGTCAGGCTACAGTAAACCATAAAAAGAATAAGCTTTATTAAAAGCCACTCTAAGTTACAGGAAATTGCAATTAGGCGGGTGTATTACTAGACATTTCATAAGACATTTCCATGAGATGTAAAGGCAGATTTCCGGTCTTTTTATGACCCGAGTACACTCTGAATACACTATATCTTATTTAACAGGTTTAAAGTTAAAATATGTTAATAACAAATGTTATTAAAGTGTGTCCAGCCTGTTTTCACAGAAAATGATGAAACAAAGCAGAGAGGAAGAAAATCCTGGATCTGTCTTGGCCAATGGTTGGAGAAAAAAGGGTAGTGCTACCTAAGAAAATTTAAAGCAACATCTGTCAATAAAATCTGTTAAAAGAGTCAAGGGTAAGTCAAAAAACATTTCCTTATATTAATGTGTTTTATGAAAATTTAAAGTAATTTACAGTGAGAAGAGACAGCAGGGACACAATTCATTGTACATATGGTATGAATATGAGTGTTATTTATGTACACACAGAGATAAAGAAATCGAGTGTATGCATATCCATATGTGCACACATATATTGCATCCTCTCAATAACTAAGCTGCACATATAGAAAATACAAATATATGATCCCCTATATAGATTGTATAGCTGTCATCCGGAAAGAATTTAAGACAACTAAAGGTTTTTCATAGTTTCCAAAAGAGCTTATTTGTATGCTTTTATAACCCTGCCAATAAACATACAAATGCGGAGACCAATTTTGTCAACACTCCATACCTACTATCCAGAATTAACAAATGATATTGACATTTGAATATATTTGCTTTCACATCATCTTCTTCTCTTAAATAAATACAATGTGGCAGATCTAGTTGGTGCCACCCTTTCTCTCAATTTCTTTTCAGAAGCTACTTCTAAACTGAAACTTGTGAATACCATTTCCATCCAAGGTTTTATGCTTTTGCAACCTACGTGTGTGTCTGTAAACAATCATATTTTCCATGTGTTTTTTATTTGACTATGTTAGCATCCTTATGTATTCTTATACAACTCGTTTTATTCACTCAATGTATCATTACTTTATGACATTTTATTATATAAACAGACTATAATTTATTCCTCCATTGACTTACTGGTGGCATTGAGGTTGTTAGCAATTTGTGGAACTTTCAAATTATATAATTCATACCTTTAAACATGCCTCAGTGAGCACATGTTCAAAAACTTTTCTACAACACATAACTCAAAGTGAAATTGATGCATGGTCTACTAGAAATATCTATATATTAGAAATTGCCATATTGCTTTCCAAATGGTTATTAGTGTTTACATTCCCACAAGAATAAAATATGGAAGTTTTTATTGTTCCGTGCCTCACCAACACTTGATATTAGTTTTCCCATCATATATAACACAAATACAGAAAGAATGTTATTTCTGTGTGTGTTTGTGTGTATACATACACATACAAACACACGAGTTTAAGTTTTTTTGGTTGAATGAGTATAATATAAAATGTTTTAAGAGAAATGTACAGAATTTAATGAGTATCAAATATGAGTTAATGTCTTCTCACTTTATCAAATTTTATTTTCCATCTTTATTTTGAAATGGTTTAATTGCACCAATTTATTGGTAAATAAATAACATTTTAAGAAAATTAAAACAGTTACCCAGGGCTGCACAGCTCTTGTGAGCGTTTTGGGGTCAGAGTGTTTGTTTTCAGAGCCTGTTTGTTTTCCTCTATCTTAGCATATGTGCCTCACATTTTATGAAATACAGTTGACCCTTGAATAACAGGCATCTGAACTGAAACAGTCCACTTATATGAGGATTTTCTTCCACTTCTGCCACTCCTGAGGCAGCAAGACCGACCCTTCCTCTCCTCCGTCACCTCCTCAGTCTATTCAACATGAAGATGATGAGGATGAGGACCTTTATGATGATCCACTTTCACGTAATGAATTGTAATACATTTTCTCCTCCTGAGAATTTTCTTAACAACATTTTATTTTCTCTAGCTTACTTCATTGTAAGGGCATAGTGTATAATACATATACAAAATATGTATTAATTGATTTTATGTTACTAGTAAGGGTTCAGATCAACAGCAGGCTATTAGCAGTTAAGTTTTGGGGGAGTCAAAAGTTATACACAAATTTTCTACTGCACGAGGTCAGCACTTCTAACTCCTGCATTGTTCAAGGGTCACTGTACTTTCATATATTGTATTGACCTTGCAGGGAAGATGTTCTATTTAGACTTAAAACATGTTTCCAGTGTAAGGCCTACAATATTATATTTTAATCAAATTTTATAAAATCCTAAATATATTAAATATCCTTTCTAAAAAAATTAGAAAACAAAACTCAGATATGAATCACTGATTTAGGAAAACATAGGTGATAGATGTAAGATTTGAACATAGTCCTGCTTCTCAGTCTATTTCTCTGGGCTTTTATTTATTCCTTTCATTTTGTTTCAACTGAGAAATGTTGAAGAGAGTCATCTGCAAGGACTTTGTCACAGGGAGCATTCCTTAAAGATGAGTTTAATTTTAAAAAGAAAGTGTATAAGGAATTATGGGCTTTCTAAGTCAATGGCCTAGAAAAGTTAGGTCAGAGCTTCAGACTGACCAAAGACCTTGTAAGATACCATGTATGTTTGCAGGGTTTAAGGAGGTAAATATACTTCAAAGTATATTTCTGATGCTAAAAGAGAAAGCATTTGCTTAGATCCAGACATGATATCGAGAATTGACCCAGTTAAAAAGAAAACCACAAAGCACTATTTGTTCCTCATGAAAATTATTAGAAAACCATCCCAGTCTCTAGACATTATAATAAATCTCCATGTGGCAATTTGCAGTTTATCCTTACCTCTGAGTTACTAGAATTTTTCCCACAAGTAATTTGCCTTGTTGCTTAATATTTGACTACTAAATGCAGAAGTCCTCAAGAGTCTTTGCGTTTCTTCTTATTTTTCAATACCTGAGAGAACATGAGGTCTTCACTTCTTGGGTAAATAATTATAAATACACATGAGCAGCAATATAGCAGAGTTTGTATAAATGCTGGTTCTGGAATCCCAGTGCTGGATGCAATCATGACTCCAACACTCACAAGCCTACAGAACCTGGGATACTTATGCAAACTCTTCCAGCTTTGGTCTTCTCATTTGTAAAATAAAGGTTTTGGTGGTTCATATGTCATGAGGGTTAAACAAAATTAAGCATATAAAATAATTAGCAAAATGCCCAGCACCTAATGAGCACCTGTGTTAAACATTATTATCATCATTTAGATCTACATGTATACATTGCATAGTTTTAAATAATAATCTCATACACAAACACACACACACACACACACACACAAATAGCCACTAGAGTGCATAAAATCACTAAAGAGAGTTGAGCATGCAGAACTGTAAACGATACCTTGGCAAAATTCATATAGCAGGTTCTTGGAGAAAGAAGATAATGCGTGTGTCAAAAGCTTTCAACTTCAAAACAATTAAAGAGTTTCCAATAACAGGGAATTTATTTGGATCAAGATAATGACTTGTATCCTTTTATTCACTCCACTCTGTTGAAGTGACAGAAAAAAAAATGTAAAAAGAAAAATAAATAAATAATAGGCATAGGAAAAGAAGGGGTATGTTTATTAGGTTAGAAACTTTTCAGAAATTTCCAGTAGATGGAGGATGGCATGAAAATAAGGAAACAATTAAACAGGGAAAATAAAACCCGAAATATAGGAAGCAGAAATTTCTAGAGGTGGTGAGAAGAGCATTTACTAACTAAGCCTCAGAAGAATCTCCCCAAATTCAACGGGATCCAGAGTGGCTTAGGGGTGATCATCAGGAGAGTTCATTTAAGGCTGAGTTTGAAAGAGATGTTCCTTATCTATTTAAGCCCGGTGACTTCAGAGGCAGAACTATTTTTTGTTTTTCAGCACAAAGTTATTTCTAAACAAGGATGAGAATCAGCCTAAAGTAGGTCTTTGTCATGAGTCTGGGGACTGAAATGTTAAGCAGATCCTCAATCAACTACAGACTGCATTCTTCCTTCAGAATAAAGCTCTTACTACCAGCTTAATTGCGTTGGCCTCACCTAGAAGACCTACAAAGTGAGGGTTTCACTAGAGAATAGTTAATGTACAGCCACAGGGAGAAAGCAAGAGTGCCCACACCTAGAAACAGTTTCCTGCCGTCCATGTTCTACTGAAGGTCCTGCCTGTCCCCAACAAGCCATACTAAAACAAGAAACTGAATCCACCAATGCACATATAGGAGTATTCTTTGGGTTGAGAAAGAACAACCTGGCCGGGCGCGGTGGCTCATGCCTGTAATCCCAGCACTTTGGGAGGCCGAGGTGGGAGGATCACGAGGTCAGGAGATCAAGACCATCATGGCTAACATGGTGAAACCCCATCTCTACTAAAAATACAAAAAATTAGCTGGGCGTGGTGGCGGGCAACTGTGGTCCCAGCTACTCGGGAGGCAGAGGCAGGAGAATGGCGTGAACCCTGGGAGGCGGAGCTTGCAGTGAGCCGAGATCCCGCCACTGCACTCCAGCCTGGGCGACCGAGCGAGACTCCATCTCAAAAAAAAAAAAAAAAAAAAAAAAACAAACAAAAAAAAACAAGGCCGGGAGCGGTGGCTCACGCCTGTAATCCCAGCAGTTTGGGAGGTCGAGGTGGGTGGATCACAAGGTCAGGAGTTCGAGACCAGCCTGTCCAATATGGTGAAACCTCGTCTCTACTAAAAGTACAAAAAAATTAGCTGGGCATGGTGGCACAGGCCTGTAATCCCAGCTACTTGGGAGGCTGAGGCAGGAGAATTGCTTGAATCTGGGAGGCAGAAGTTGCAGTGAGCCGAGATCATGCCACTGCACTCCAGCCTGGGTGACAGAGAGAGATTCCGTCTCAAAAAAAAAAAAAAAGAAAGAAAGAACAACCCAGCTACCTATTTAATTTTAATCTTGAAACAGATCAATAATATGTGTTCACAGATATGATTACATATCCCCAAATCACTAAATGTTGAAACAATTACTATCAAAGAAAGCCATCATCTGCAAATAAATTTTCTACAAATTAGTCTTCACAGTTCTTTAAAAACCTATTACATCCATTAAGAACAGATGAATTATGACAAAGAAACAAACTGTTAGCATTCTTAGAAATATATATATTTATGTATATACATGCCTATATATGTATGTATGTATATACAAAATTATAGAATAATAGAGACTGAGTTGCAGAAGTGATAATGGGATAAATCAGGAGGAATATTCTCTTTTTAAATTTCTCTTATTTCAATAGTTTTTAGGGGTACAGATGGTTTTGGTTACATTTATAAATTCTTTAGTGCTCATTTCTGAGATTTTAGTGCACCTGTCACATGAACAGTGTACTCTGTACCCAATATATAGTCTTTTATCTCTCACCCCACTTAACACCTTCCTCCATGAGTCCCCACCTTCCATTATGTTATTCTTATACCTTTGCATCCTCATAACTTGGCTTTCACTTATAAGTGAGAACATACGATATTTGATTTTCCATTCCTGAGTTACTTCACTTGGAACTATGACCTCCATCTCCATCCAAGTTGCTGCAAAAGACATTATTTTATTCATTTTTATGGCTGAGTAGCATTCCATGGTGTATAGCTACCACATTTGTTTATCCACTCATTAGCTGATGGGCATTTAGGTTGGTTCCATATCTTTGCAACTGTGAATTGTTCTGCTATAAACACGCATGTGCACGTATTTTTTTCACGCAATTATTTCTTTTCCTTTGGATAGATATCCGGTAGAAGGATTGCTGGATCAAACAGTAGTTCTACTTTTAGTTCTTTAGGAAGTTTCCATATTGTTTTTCATAGTGGTTGTACTAATTTACATTACCCCCAGCAGTGTAAAACTGTTCCCTTCTTGCCATGTCCATGACAACATCTATTGTTTTTTCACTTTGTAATTATGTACTTTTCACTTTTTTAATCTATGTACTTTTTACTTTGTATTTTTGCAGGAGTAAGGTGGTATCTCTTTGTGATTTTAATTTGCAGTTCCCTAGTGGTTAGTGATGCTAAGCATTTTTTCATGTGTTTGTTGGCTGTTTATATATCTTCTTTAGAGAAAAGTGTATTCATGCCCTTTGTCCACTTTTTGATGGGATTATTTGTTTTTTCTTTGCTGATTTGTTTGAGTTACTTGTAGATTCTGGATACTAGTCTGTTGCCCAATGCATAGATTGTGAATATTTGCTACCACTCTTTGGGTTGTCTGATTACTCTGCTGATTATTTCTTTTGCTGTACAGAAGCTTTTTAGTTTAATTAGGTCCCATTTATTTATTTGTGTTGCATTTGCCTTTAGGGACCTAGTTATAAATTCTTTGCCTAAGCTGATGTCCAGAAAAGTTTTCCTGATGTTATCTTCTAGTTTTTGATCCATGTTGAGGTGAGTTTTGTGTAAGGTGAGAGATGGGATCCAGTTTCATTCTTCTACATGTGGCTTGCCAGTTTTCCTAGCACCATTTATTGAATAGGGTGTCTCTTCCCCAATTTATGTTTTTGGATGCCTCATCAAAGATCAGTTGGCTATAAGTATTTGGCTTTATTTCTGGATTCTCTATTCTGTTACATGGATCTATGTGTGTATTTTTATACCACTACCATGCTGTTTTGGTAACTATAGCCTTGTAGAATAATTTGAAGTCAAGTAATGTGATCCCTCCAGATTTGTTATTTTTGCTTAGCATAGCTTTAGCTATGTGGGCTGTTTTCTGGTTCCATATGAATTTTAGGATTGTGTTTTCTAGTTCTGTGAAGAATGATGATGGTATTTTGATGGGAATTCCATTGAATCTGTAGATTGCTTTGGGCAGTACGATCATTTTCACAATATTTATTCTTCCCACCCATGAGCATGGGAAGTGTTTCTATTTGTTTATGTCATCCATGATTTCTTTGAGCTGTGTTTTGTAGTTTTCCTTGTATATTTCTAAGTACTTTATTTTTCTGCAGCTATCGTAGAAGGCATTGAGTCCTTGATTTGATTCTCAGCTTGGTCTTTGTTGGTGAATAGCAGTGCTAGTCCTTAGTATACATTGATTTTGTATCCTAAGACTTTACTGAATTTGTTTATCAGATCTACAAGTTTTTTGGATGAGTCTTTAGGGTTTTCTAAATATACGGTCATATCATTGGCAAACAGCGACAGTCTGACTTCCTCTTTTCCAGTGTGAATGCCCTTTATTTCTGTGTCTTGTCTGATTGTCCTAGCTAGGACTTCCAGTACTATGTTGAATAAAAGTGAAAGTGGGTATCCTTGCCTTTTTCCAGTTCTCAGGGGGGGATGCTTTCAACCATTCTGCATTCAGTGTAATGTTGGCTATGGGTTTGCCATATATGGCTTTTATTACTTTGAGATAAGTCCCTTCTATGCCTATTTTGTTGAGGGTTTTTATCATAAAAGGATGCTGGATTTTATCAAATGTTTTTTTCTGCAACTTTTGAGATAATCATATGGTTTTGTTTTTAATTCTCTTTATGTGATGTCACATTTATTGACTTGCATATGTTAAACCATCCCTGCATCCCTGGGATGAAACCTACTTGATCGTGAAATACTATCTTTTTGATGTGGCATTGGATTTGATTAGCTCGTATGTCACTGAGGGAGGTATATTCTTAAGGAATGAAGGATAACATTTTAAAAATGGAATTGATGAGGGAAAGCAAATATATGTGAAAAATAACATCTTCTGACATCTGTTTAACAGGAGTTTCAAAATGAAACAGTAAAATAGAGCAAGTTATGATTTTAATAGAAAATCATTACTCAAGATACATATTTTCATATTAAATCTTTAGATTATAAAAGCCTAGCAAAACCAAAACAACAAAATTGGGAATGGGGCAAGACCCTCATCTAAAACCATCCTACCTCAAAAAGCCTTGTTATGTGAGAAAAGTAAAACACTGGATTTGTTTGATCCTGCTTTTTGACATTGATTCCTAGTAGATTCATGGACAACCATAACTCATTTTATCGTGTTTTACTTTATTGCTCTTTACAGACACTGTATTTTTACAAATTGAAGGTTGTGGCAACCCTGCATCAAGCAAGACTATTAGCACCATTTTTTTTTTCACATAGCCTATGCTCATGTGTGTCTCTGTGTCACATTTTGGTAATTCTTGCAATATCTCAAGCTTTTGCATTATTGCTGTATCTGTTATGGTGATATGTTATCAGTGATCTTTGATGTTACTATCGTAATTGTTTTGGGGGGCCATGAACCATCCTCTATAAGATGGGGACTTCATAAATAAATGTTGTGATGCTTTGACTGCTCCACTGACAGGCAGTTTCCCCATCTCTCTCCCTTTCCTCATGACTCTCTATTCCATGAGTCACAACAACATTGAAACTAGGTCAGTTAATAACCCTATTATGACCCCTAAGTATTCAAGTTAAATAAAGAGTTGCATGTCTCTCACTTCAAATCAAAAGCTAGAAATTAGTGAGCTTAGTGAGGAAGGCAAGTTGAAACCTGAGATAGGCTGAAAGCTAGGTCCTTTATGCCAAACAGTTAACCTAGTTGAGAATACAAAGGAAATGTTCTTGGAGGAAATTAAAAGTGCTACTCCAATGACTACACGAATGATACAAAAGCAAAAACTGCCTTATTACCAATATGGGGAAGTTTGAGTGGTCTGGGTAGAAGATCAAACCAGCCCCAACATTCCCTTAAGCCATAGCTTAATTCGGAAAAAAAGCATTATTTCTCTTCAAGTCTATGAAGGCTGAGAGAGGCGAGGAAGTTGCAGAAGAAAATTTGAAAGCTAACAGAGGTTGGTTCATGAGGTTTAGATAAAGAAGCCATAACCATAACATAAAAGTAAAAAGGGAAACCACAGTGCTAATGTAGAAGCTGCAGCAAGTTATCCAGAAGATCTAGCTAAGATAATTGATGAAAGTGGCTACAATAAATAACAAATTTTCAGTGTAGACAAAACAATCTTCTATTGGAAAAAGGTGCCATCTAGGACTCTACCAGCTGTAGAGGAGAAGACGTTGCCTGGCTTCAAAGGACAGGCTGACTCTCTTCTTAAGGGTTAATGGAGCTGGTAAATTTAAGCTGAAGCAAATAACTCATTTACCATTCCAAAAATCATAGGACTCTTAAGAACTATACTAAATCTACTCTTCCTGTGCTCTATAAATAAAACAACAAAGCCTAGATGACAGCACATCTGTTTACAGCATACTTTACTGAATATTTCAAGCTCACTGTTGAGACTTACTGCTCAGAAAGAAAGAATCCTTTCAAAATATTACTGTTCATTGCCAGTGCACCTGGGCACCCAAGAGCTCTGATGGAGATGTACAAGAAAACTAATGTTTTCATGCCTGCTAACACAACATCCATTCTATAACTCATGGATCAAGGAGTATTTAGGCTTTCAAGTCTTGTTATTCAAGAAAAACATTTTGTAAGGTTATAACTGACATGGATGGTGATTCCTCTGATGGATCTAGGCAAAGTAAATTGAAAACTTTCTGGAAAATATTCATCATTCTTGAAGCCATTAAGAACATTCATGATTCACGGGAGGAGGTGAAAATATCAACATTTATAAGAGTTTGGAAGGAGTTGATTTTAATTCTCAGGTATGAATTTGAGGGCTTCAAGACTAGTGGAGGTAGTGGCTGCAGATGTAATAGAAATAGCAAAAGAAATAAAATTAGAAGTGGAGCCCAAAAATGTAACTGAATTGTTGTAACCTACCGATAAAACTTGAACAGATAAGGAGTTACAAACAAGTGAAGGATTGGAGAATAGGTCACCCTACAATATGCCTCTTTGGCATAAGAATTATTTTGTCCTGAAGGCAGTTGAGAAGAAACAGATACAGAAAAGCTCTCTACCTTCCTCCTATTTGCCTAAAGGCAGGACACAAATTTACAAAGGTGTTCCTCCTCTACTCTTTACCAGGAAGGGAAAACATTGATCACAGAAGACAAATTTAGACTCTCATCAGCCCAAACAGATGGAAGCTGTATAATAAGCTTTACTAAGTAGACTTTATCCACTATTAGTTCCCCAGTTGTTGCCTTCCTACAATTGGCCACTCCTAGAAGCTCAAGGCCCTTTTCCTGTGTCTTGTCATTTTCTAAGAATTTTTTGTTCTTTGTTGAAGATGCTATGTAAGCTAGAGTTCTAAGCCACTTCTATAAGAGTTACTCACTCCCTGGGTATCTCCGACATATACATGAAATACACATATTAATAAATAGGTTAGGATCAGAATCCTGAAAGACACAATTCTGACTGCCATAACCTCAAATATTGACATTCCTGAAGATCAAAATCCCTAAAGTCTAACATCCCTAGCATCTAAGATCCCCAAAATCACAATCACGGAATAGTTTTATCATGTTAAGTAGAACTACTAACTTGTTATTGCCTTTATTTGGAAATTAAGTATGGCTAAAAAGATGTGTATGAGTGCCAATTTGACAAGAGGTGGACTTAATTTTAGATGTCAGCTTAAGTGGATTTAGGAATACTTGAAACTTGGTAAGGCATAAACTTGTCTGTGTGTCTGTAAGAGTGTTTCCAAAGAAGATTCATGTGTGAATCTGAGTGGACTAGGTGGGGAAGACCTGCCCTCAACATTGGTGGACAACATCCAATTTGCTAGAGTCCCAGAGAGAACAAATACCAAGTAAATTCATTCTCTCTGAGAGCTGGGACAGACTTTTATTCTGCTGTCTTGGACATCAGAGCTCCAGGCTTGCCAACCTTTCAATTCCAGGACTTACACCAGGGGTCCCAGGGGCCTGAGGCTTTCAGCTTTGAACTGAGAGTAACACCATTGGTTTTCCTGGTTTTCAATGTGAAAACATTAAAACTTCCTCAATAAATAAAGAAATGTTCTTATCATACACCTGCATTTTTGAAAGATAAAATTTCTCCAGGTCTCAGCTCTTTGGGTGACTGCATATGCATTGATGACCCTTTGAGGTTTTTGATCAATCTTGTCAAAAGTCTTCATCTGTCCATCACAGCATTTCAGATAATCGCAGGCATAAAGCTGAGTGCACAAAATTGCCAACCATACTGATAGGCATTTATACATTTTGTTTTTTCACTTATTTCTTTATGAACATGGTTCATTTGCTAGACACTCATGTGCCTGTCATTTGTATACCCAAGTTTACGTTTGAAACAATATGTGTTATATTGCCGTTTCTGTCGTGTAAATTATGTATGACATGTTCTGATGTGTTTTATATGTTTCCCAAATAAACTGCCTTTTTAAAATGTAAATAAATGTCTTTTAACAAATTTTTAAATTATTTTTTCCAGAGTTATAATTTCAGAAATTTGATCACGTGGGATTTCAACATTCAGGATTATGACATTCAGAATTGCACCTCTTGGGATTAAATAAGCTCCTTTAATAAACTTCTATTTGTTTTTCTATTTCTAATATGAAAGAAACAGTAAAATTGGTGACAGTAAGAGATTTCAAAGTTAAAGTTTTTAAACAGGTTAAATATGATACAATTTCAGATACAAATGAAAGTAACTTTTTTGACACAAAATAGTACATATAATTCTAGACTAAAATTTTGATAATCAGTATAAATAATGATTTATATAAAATTATGTTATTCAAATACAATCAAGGAGATATAAAAATATGAATACAACACAGAAGGAATTACAAAAGTTGCCAGAGATAGAAGGAGATTTGTACAAGAATATTCATTACTGCTGTGTGTGTAGTGCTAAATTATTGGTCCTCTAGAGGAGACTGGAGAAATATATTTTGGTTCATTTATACAGTACCAACATGAATAGACAACAGATATATCTATATGATGAATATGTGTCATAAAATGTATTTCATTAAAAATAGCGTAAGATATACATGTCATTTGTATAAAATGTTATATAAAACAACTGTACACACATATCTGTACATATTTGTTATTGTATAAAAATTCATACAAATTATAATGCCCAATTTCCTTATTAGTGGATACCATTGCGAAATAGTGGATACTATTGCAAAAGTGTTGGAATGTTATTGAATAGTGGACACTATTGCAAAAGTGTTGGAATTTAATTTGGATAATCATAGGGACTTCAACAGATTTTCTTTAAAAGAACCTGAAGGAAAAGGATAAAATGTTAACATTTTATGAAGTAGATTAATAGACATTTTATTGTTATTTTCTATTAAGTTTTGTATATTTAAAATATTTTAAAATAAATAATATCTATCCAATGAGAATCAATACTAAATTATCAAAAGTTTTAGCAAAGTGAGTTAGCACAACATACACAGATATAAGCACAACATACACACAAGGAAATAGCTTTTATAATGTGCAGAAAAATCAATTAGAAAAATAACAAAAATCACAATAAACACTTGAGATACTATAATTGCTCAAACAGAAATATATAACTAATGTGAAAAAGTACACATTTTTATAAAAAACTATTATTTCAACATGGGAAAATATATATTATAAAATTTCCAATTTTTCTTCAAATAAATTTATAAACAAACACAACTTTAAAGCATTTTTTGCTTTTTATGAAATACATAATCTTTTCCAAAGTAAATAAAAGCCATCAAAACTAATATTTTCAAAAATATGCCTGTAATATAATGGATAAACTCATTCTAAATTTGATCTTGAATAAAAATATAAAATAACGAAGACAATTTTGATCAACGTACACACTTTGCAACTTGGGTTATATGCATTTTGTAAAACAATAATTAAAAGAATGCTGATGGTTACATATGTACACAAATAGAATGTTGAGACAAAGCTAATATCCAAAAAAAAAGGCCTTTGTACTTATTGGAAGATTGCTTTTATCCATGGGAAAATTAAATATCTCTTTTTGATACTATACTTAAACGTAAATTCCAAAGGTAATAACTGTAGGAGTGAAATCTTTTGAGTAAATGATGGAAGATATATGATATAGAACAAAACTGCAAGGATTCAACTTGGATTTGACAGGGCATTTTTCCATTGTAAGTAGAGGGAAGAATAAAATTCAAGAAGAATTTTGGATTTGGTGGCAGAAAAAAATGAAGAATCAATGGGATCCATTTCCTTAATCTCATATTCTGTCTGGCCTCGAAGTTACGAAACAATTAGACAAACTTCACAACATTTGTCTTCTTCAGTCATATGCCTGCACTGCTAGGAATAAAGATTAGAAGCCAAGAATATTATTGATCCACAAGTTCATTTGCATACTCTGCAAGAACTAATAATTGACTGCCTGTAACTCACAAGGTAATTCCTGAATTGTACCACCTTTCATTTTAAGACAAATTTTTTGTTTATTTGTCTTCATTTTTTGTTGTTGCTGTTTCCTCAAGAGTGAGGTCTTTTTTTTAGTTCATGGACTTTGGCCCTGTAACAGGTTGGTTACATATTATAACTGGCCTGAACATTTCTTCAACTACGATTATTCTGATTTTTTTTAAGGCTCAAATAAGTTCAGTTAAGCTTTTTTGTTTAATTCTATGTCTTGGCATGTATTGGTTTTAGCGAGGCACAGAAGTCAAGCTATCCAAGTATGTGAAAAGAACCATTCTCTTATTATTTATGGCTGATGGTGATTGGGCAGAATGAGAAACCTTGCAGGAGAGCACAATCTTTTGTCTTTTGCAGACCAGAGAGGTTTGATACTGTTCAGAGGAAAACTTAAACCTTGTGCTGTTTTTCTATCTTCATGGGTTAACCTTCTAGATCCACTCATCTCAATAATTGCATGCATTCTACCAAATTTCCCTATGGGATTTTTATGAAATAAGTTGTTCTTGCTAGCATTTCTGAAATAAATACTCTCTTTGGGAATAAATATTTAGACAAAATCAAGGATGAATGTTCCATGAAAGAGCTTTAAGTGAAGTTATAAATATTTGAGAAAGAGACCACCAGCTTTTGAAACTGATAACAAATTGATTTACTAACATGATTATATCAATCACTGAAATCTAGCCATTTGCAAGCATAATACTAGATTGTGTATGTTCCAATTCAGGGGTTAATACATCTGTTTCTACTTTATGGAGATTGCCTTAAAGTGGTTTTGGCATATAATAAGTTACTTAACCCAAAAGCTGAGTGATGGGTTTTGATTTAGTAAGTTCGTTCCTTACTTTTCAATTAGTGTTCTATAATTTTCTAAGAACCAAGAGACCCAAAGGAGCAAAAATTTCCATGATCAAGAACAGAGAGTTTGAAAAAAAAAAATCATTTGTTAAGACATTTTGAGGACAAAATTCTAGAGGTGCCAAATCCAACCAGTTAATTGTTGAGCTATCCAAGTCTTTAAATCTATCTATGATTTAAAAACTTACTCCTCAGTTACCAACAAAATAATTCAGCTCAAAAGTTTGTGTAATAAGTTAATGTTTTCTTTTTAATCAGTTTTAATTGAACTGAATTTGGTAAAATAATTCAGAAATTTTTGCATAATTGCTTTATAAACTCTTATTATTAAGATACATTTAGTTCTTAGTTTCTTGAAAATAATTTAATTTGAACTTTATCTTTAAATCTTTTTTCTCTGCTTTTTAACATCCTACCTATTTTTAAAGGCAGAGTTCATAATCTCTGTTTTTCACTGCATCCTCTGATTCCTGCCATCCACAATAATTTATTTTGCCTTTGAATTCTTATAATGCTTCATATTTTACTCTGCAAAAAACTATTCAAATATGATTATTCTATGTTTAAAAAATAACTTCTTCTAAGGTTAGAATATGTCCTTCCCAAAATTAATGTGTCGGAGACTTTGTTCCTAGTGTAAGAGTGTTGGGAACTGGGACCTTTAGGAAGTTATTTGGTGATGGGACCTACATGTTTATAAATGGATTAGTTCTGTTATTGTGGGAGTGGGCTAATTATTCTGGAGTGGCTCTTTTTATAAAAATGAGCTCTCTTTCACACATATTCTCTTGCCCTGCTTCTCTTTCACCGTGTTATAACACAGCAAGAAAACCCTCACCAGATGCAGCCCCTTGATTTTGGACTTCCCTCCCTCCAGAGTTGTTATCCAAATAAATTTCTATTGGTTATAATTTACTCAGTCTGTGGTATTTTGCTACAGCATTAGAAAGTTTACTAAAACAGAAAATTAGTGCTGAGAAGTGGGATTGTTGCCATAATAAATACCTGAAAATGAGAAAGCAGCTTTAGTCCTGGGTAATGGGTAGAGGCTGGAAGAATTTGGGGAAGCAGGCTAGAAAAAGCCTAGATTGCCATAAACAAAGCATTGAGGACAATTCTGGTGAAAGTTCTGAGGAAGAGCAGACTAGGGAAAGTCTGGAACTTTTTAGAGATTACTGAAGTGGTTGTGATCAGAATGCTGGTTGAAATATGATTAGAGGCCATTCCAATGAGGTCTCAGATGGAACTGGAGAACAAGGTATTAGAAATTGGAGTAAGGATGATCCTTGTTATAAAGTAACAAATAAAATGTGCCCATGCCTGAGAGCTTAATGGAAGGCAGAATTTAAGACTGACAAACTAGGATATCTGGCAAAAGAAGTGTCTAAGCAGCAATGTACTCAGATTGCTGCATGGTTACTTTTAATTATTTATAGTAAGATACAAGAGAAAACAGAGTAGAATAATTTGGAAAATTTGCAGCCTGGCCATGTAGAGTGAAAAAAACTATTTGAGTGTGGCCAAGGAACCATATTCTAAAGACATTATTATGGACAGAAAGGAGCCAGAGGGTATTCATCAAGACAATGGGAGAAAAGACTCCAAAGGCATTTCAAAAATCTTTAAAGCTGCCCCTCTCATCACAGGCCAAGAGTTCTAGGAGGGCAGAATTGTTTTTGTGGATGGGCTTTAGCAGCCCTCTGCACACTACCTGCCCAGAGCTGCCTTGAAACTCTGCTCCCTATATTCCAATGCAGTGCTCCTCAGACTACCCAGCCATAGTTCAAGCAAGCTCCCTTACCTTTCTGGCCACCGCTTCAGAAGGTACAAGTGATAAGCCTCGGTGGTGTCCACATGGTATTGAGTCTGCAGGCATGCAGAATGCAAGAGCCATGGGAGCATGGCTTCATCCACCTAGAAGTGAAAAGATGCTGTGGACCAGGAAGCCCAAGAACAAACTTGCCCCGGGGTTTCGGGGCTCTGCCACTGAAAATCCCAATGAAAGCAATGGCTAGCGGAGCCCTGGGAGCGGGGCCACTCCCAGGATTCCCAAATTGTAGGGCCACAAGCATGCAAGTCCAACCTGGAAAAGCTACAGGCAAAAGACTCCAACCTGAGATGGCTGTTTGGGTTAACCCCAGCAAAGCTGTAGGAGAGAGGCTGCCTAAGGCTTTGGGGACCCAAAAGCTTCAGTGTGCACAGAATGTGGGACACTGAGTCACAGAAAATTATTCTCCAGCTTTGAGACTTAATGTTATTTACTCTGTTGAGTTTGAGCTCACTTGGAATCAGTTACCTATGTCTCCTTTTTAAAATGAGAATTTCCATCCTGTGCCGGTCCCACCATTGTACTGTGGAAGCAGATAACTGTTTCAATTTCACAGGCTCACTGCTGAAGAGAATTCACTTCAGAATGAAATGTTTAGTCTCACTAACATCTGACTTAGCTGAGACTCTGGACTTTGGACTTTTGAGTTGATGCTAGAATGAGTCAAGACTTTTGGAGCTATTGGGATAGAATAAATGTATTTTGCATTGTAAGAACATAAATTTTAGGACTCAGGGGCTTTATGCTATGGTTTGGATATGACCTCCAAAAGTTCATGTTTTGGAAACTTGGTGGTCCGAGTGTTTGGAGGTGGGGCCTATGAGAGGTGATTATATCAACTAAGAGAGGTGATTTTATCTACCTTCATGAATGGATTAATGCCATTATTGTGGGAATGGGTTTGTTAGCACAGGAGTCTCTGTTATAAAAGTGAGCTCTTTCATATATGCAGTCTCTTGCCCTTCTACCCTTCCACCATGTTATGAAACAACAAGAAAGCCTTTACCACATGCAGCACCTTGATCTTGGATTACCTAGCCTTCAGAACCATGAGTCAAATAAACTTCTGTTGTTTATAATTTACTCATCTGTGGTATTATATTATAGAAACAGAAAACATTCCGAAACAATTCTCTTCCAGAGGGATAATTCAGGAATAATTCTCTTTTTTTTAACACACAAAAAAAACACTCTCAGCAAAATCAATGAAAAACATGTATTTCTTCATTAATTCAGGGCTAAATTTCAAAATTAGACTTTAGATTTTGAATTCAAAATAGGAAATGATCTTTTCCATTATCAAGTAGATATGAGATAATGCCAAAAGACATCTCAATAATATCATGTCAATTCCTATATACAAAACCATTAGATAAATTTCACATGCTTCCCTATGATTAAGTTATCATCTGGCTTCTAGTAATTAGTCCCCAACTAAAAACAGCTTTGGTTCCAAATGTTCATATACAAATTTATTATTTGATGATAAAACTCTTTTTTTATCCTCTGAAGAACTAATAGAAGACGTAGTCAGATTTTCAGACCAGCCTTTAAAACTCTTCATTAGATTGTGCGTTTGTTGCATTTGCTTGCTCAGCATTTATCTCTTACTTCTGAGGACAATGACACCCTGTGGGGCAACATATCTCCCTTCCTCAGACCACTTTCAGATGTGGGAATCATTTGGTTACCTCTGGCCATAGTGATTGGTTCTTAAAGGGACACACGATTCATTTTGATTAATTAGAGAAAATGCCAGGACTTTTTTTGGAAATTGCTATAGTTTGGATACTTGTCCCCAAACCTCACATTGAAATTTGATTTCCAATGTTGGAGTTGAGATCTAATGGGAGGTGTTGCATTATGGGAGTGGCCCCATCATGCATAGATTGATGCCGTCTCCATGGGAGGCAGTAAGTGAGTTCTCACTCTATTAGTTTCTGGGAGAGTTGGTTGTTACAAAGAACCTGGCACCTCTCCCTCTCTCTTGCTTCCTCTATCACGATATGATCTCTGTCCACGCCAGATCCACTTCACCTTCTGCTATAAGTAAAAGCAGCCTGAATCCCTCACCAGAAGCAGATGCTGGTGCCATAATTACTGTAAAGGCTGTAGAAGCATAAGCCAAATAAACCTCTTTTTCTTTGTAAATTACCCAGCCTCAAGTATTCCTTTATAGCCACACAAATGGACTGAGACAGAAACATTAGGAAATAAACACTCCCTTTCCTCTGAGGTTGCCAAATTGACAGGATGTGAGTTCATTTTTATCTTGCCAAGAAACTGAGAGGGTATGCATGGAAATGAAACCAACACAGAAGAAAGAAAACTGAGAAAAGGAGATTGAGAGATACTGTGTCCTGAAAGTACATAGTATCCTGGATCTATTATAGCAGTAGCTGAAATCCATGTGCAGATTTTGCTGTTATATGAGCTAATATTGTAGCTTTTCTCCTTTAAGGCATATGGGGTTTGATTTCTATCACTCGTGATAGAAATTGTCCTAAGTCATAGAGGTCATATAAACATGAAATACTGAAACATTTTATTTAAAGGTGTTATCCATACCATTGCTACAATGAAATGTAACCAAAAATATATAAAAATATCAAACTTAAAGCTCTGGGTTGAAATAGAAAATAGATATTTAGTCTTCACTTATTCAGACAAAGGTAGAAATGGACAGAATTTAAATACTTAAGACATTTAGTTAAATGGGGGCTAAAGCAAAATACTCCTATGTTCTGAAGTAACTCTTTGGAATCTATGAGCTCAAACTTACAAATCTGGTGAATTAGGTTTTCTTAAGCATTCTGTTATTGTTTACAAACAATTAGATTATACAATGCCTTTTACATTTAAAATAGTAATTCTCATATCAATTATTTATTTTAAGTTGAAATCATGAAGTTAACTTGCCGGGTACTCTAATATGTCAGGTTCTCTTAAAATTGTGAATCCTTTTATGAAAACACACAGGTCATTCCTAAATATAGCAGGAAACTTCTTAATAGTAAGGGTCTGATTTATTTTATCATCTCATTATTTAACTGTAAGTCTTCCAGTTGATTGTAAAATGATGGATTCTAAATAGTTAAGAAGCAATATCAGCCACTGTCTCATAGTTCCAATGTAACAATCTCAGAGGTAGTAAAACAACTCTGTAGTTCTCCCCCAGGTGGAAGTTAATAAATTTATGTCCTTTTCTGCCTTTTGCCTTCTGATCTGCCTTTTGTCAGATGATTTTTCAGCACGCCTCCAGAGGGCAAAGGAAAAGATTTCCCTCAGCTCCTATACTGCCGTGAACAAGGCCCCCTTTAACTATGTGCTTTTGCTGGGATTATATTTTCTTCCCTCATCACTTGGACATTTTATTAATCAATGTATTTATGTATTAGTTCATTCATTTATTTATTTTTGAGTCCAGGTATTGCTCTGTTGCCCAGGCTGGAGTGCAGTGGCATGATCGTAGCTTACTTGATCTCTTGGGCTTATGAGATCCTCCCACCTCAGCCTCCTGAGTAGCTGGGACTACAGGAATAAGCCACTGCATGTGAACCAACTTGGACATTTTAAATTATCCTTTCTAATTCAATGTTTTATCTCCCTGGTTGTGCTATTTACCTTTATTACTTTATCACATGCAACTACCACTTCATTGCCTAATTTGATTTTGCATTATGTTTCCCCTTGTCTTTTCTGGATCTTGCTATAATTCTTTTGTCATTTTTTGAAACAAGGCTTCTTTTAAAAAAGAGACTTGCATGTTGTAACACTTAGGGATTGCATTTTGGATGCATACAACAAACATCCAACTATCATGGTTAAGTCAGGGTTTTTTTTTTACAGAGTATAGGGCTGACAGCAGTTCTATTATGCCTTCAATACTGCAATTTCTTTCCTCATTCTTTTAATCCTCAATTGTCCTATGGTAGAAGGGAGTGTTTGGCCTTAGGTAGACAGAGGAAAAGACTCTTCCAGCTTCTATTGATCTCTAAGGGCATTTAATTCATGACACTTATTATACCATGGAGCCATATTTTGGAGTGAAGCCTCCTACCCTCCTTCATTAGTTTGTCCTTTACAATAGTAGATCAGAAGTACTTTGAGGAGAAAAACAGAAAATAATAATTAAATCAGAAGAGGTCACTTTTTAATAATGAAAAGATTTTGGTTTTAGAGATGTCAGTTATGAAGGGGGAGATTTTTAGGAGATTGGAAAGAGATTATTAGGACTTAGGAAAACGAATTGTTCCTGAGAGTAAATCTCAATTCTTTTTTTCTTCTTCTTTTTTTTTTTTTTTTTTTAGTTATAGTAATACCCAGATGTAGGTTCCAAAGGTAACCAACTGAGGAAAAAGAAAAGAAAAGAAAAGAAAAAGCAAGTGAAAATAACTACCAAAAGATGGGAGAAGGGGACGGTAAGGTGCAATGTGAGATTACAATCTTTTATAGGAGAAAGACTACAGCTAAGATTTATAGTACAGAGGCCAAGTAAAGATAATATAGTAGAAGTTTCTTGAGTGAGCTTCTTACTGGATTCACATCTCCTTACTGGGTTAACATATCTGTCATTTTCCAATGTTAGCTGAATCCCTCCAGTTGAGCTGTTTTCTCAAACCTGATTATAGCAGTTGCACTCTGTACTGCAATTATGTAATTAAATTAAATCTTATCTATTCTGATAAATGAATAAAGGGAGAGAGATTTTTCCACAAAAAAGTGATTCTAAATGCTTTGGAAAAACTTGATAAATTTGGTTCATTAAAATGATATTAATGAAGTAAAGATAGATGAAACAACTGGAAAATTAGGGAAAATGATTGAAGTATGGAAAGATTTGGTTGTTATATTATTTTGCAGGTATCTAAATTCTGTATCCACTTTTAAGAAAGAAAATCTGTATATTATAGAAGTTGTATTCTGGTATGATCGATGGAGAAAAAGCAAAGCAGAATTCGATTCTGCAAACGCATATTCCAAGTACAGACAAAGACTGTAGTAATGTATATATGTCACCCTGGTAACTTATGAGAAATTTACACCTTAAGGGCGCTAAGAGGCTTGCTTTTAACAGACTCTGTAGAAAATCTATTTTAAATTGATATTTTTGACATGAACAATAACGTGATAATATGCTTATTGTACAGATGTGGATTTTGAATAGTAGATTTTCTTAGAGCAAAGGCCAGTGTACGTTACTTCCTGTGTAGCATACATCTCATCAATAGATCCTCCTTGTCTCCTAAAGGAGAACGTTCAAATCCCCTTGACAGGCACGGGATGGGGGATTTTATGTACTTGACACTCTTTGCATCACTTCATCTCCCACCCTTTTCCCACAGCACACTGTACTCCAGTGAATCCAAACTGGTCACTTTTCAGGGAAAAATTTCCTGTTGCTTGCCTTGCTTTTGTTATATGTGCAGTTCATTTTTTTCTAAAACATTTTTCTTCCCAACTTTCTGCTTAGTAAATTCTACTGTTGCTTCAGTATTCAACATGAATTTTTATTACTTCTCTGGTGTCATCCCAGCTCCTCCCCCTACCCACGTACATACCTCACACTTGTCACACACATAATTAAGTGCTTCCCTCTTTCCGAATTCATAGAATGCCATAAATGCTTCGATTTTATCATTAACCCTTGCTTGATAACTGGGATTTATTTGATCTTTCTTCCAACTAGACTCTGGCATGGCAGAAGCCAAGAGTTGTACATTGTTCAATCATTTAATCCCTGTCTTCCAGAGCAGTGACTGGTCCATAACAGTTCTGCTATTATTATTTTTATATTCAGCAGTTTTTGGCATGTAATGCCAATATTGTCTGATCGTGTCAAACATTTCCAGTGCTTTTTAACCCTAGTATTTTACCTGGGAAAAAATATATTTTTTCACATGAGACTTTAGATAGTTTTGTATATTTGTTAACTCATAATCGCTCAGAAATATCTGATAAACCTAATAAAGACAAGATGTATCCTGACTGAGAAAAACTACTATTGAGACTTCTTAACTCATCAGGAAATAAAATTAAAACCACAATGAGATACCACTACAAATCCATCACGATAGCTAAAATTAAAATACAAAATTAAAAAAAACAACGCTTTTGGCTAGTATATAGAACAATCAGAAATTTCATATACAGCTGCTAAGAGTACAGATTGGTATACCAACTTTGAAAACTATTTGGCTGTTTCTAAAATTCAAGAAGAGCATACCCCATGCCTCATAATTGCCCTCCTAAGTGTGCATATGACATATATGTGTACGTTATGTTTAGTAAAATACATATATTAGAAAGTTCATGGCTGCTATTCATAATAGCCACAAGCTAAATACTACCCCAAAATTCAACAATGGAATGGATAACTAAATTATGGGAAATCAAACAATGAAATATTACACTACAATGAGAATGAGTCATCTGCAATTACACACAATGGCATGGATTAATCTCATAAACTTGATGTTGTCTGAAAGAAACCAGCCACAAAAAGTGTACTGTATTTTTACATTTTTATGAAGTACAAAAATGGGCATAACTAATTTATGCTGCTAGAAGTTGAGGTAGTGATTACCCTTGGCCAAGAGTAGACTGTAAGGAGGCACAAAGGGAACTGCAGGGACACTGTGATGTTTTATTTCTCAAGGCAGGTACTGATTTAGTTTGTAGGAATTCATCAAGCTCGAATATATTATTTATTGTATGTATGCTGTACTTCATTTAAAAAAAAATGTAGGCTGGGAGTGGTGACTTACACCTATAATCCCAGCACTTTGGGAGGCCGAGGCGGGCAAATCATGAGATCAGAATTTCGAGACCAGTCGAGACAGTGAAGCCTCGTCTCTACTAAAAATATAAAAATTAGCTGGACATGGTGGCAGGCACTTGTAATCCCAGCCACTCGGGAGGCTGAGGCAGCAGAATCGTTTGAACCCGGGAGGCAGAGGTTACAGTGAGCCGAGATCGTGCCATTGCATTCCAGCCTGGGCGACAGGGCGAGACTCCATCTCAAAAAAATGTAGAGCTATGGAGTGATGTACACTCCATAGTGTACATATGGTTCTATTGGTCCAGAGGTTGGTTTAATGTCATCTATGTCTGTGGTTCCCTGTACGTTATAGATACAACAACTTCTTTGTTTTTACTTTTTCAAACTCACAGGTTATTTTTTAATTTTTGTGGATACATAGTCGGTGTATATATTTATGAGGTACATGAGAAGATTTGATATGGGCATGTAATTTGTAATAACCTTATCATGGAGAATGGGGTATCTATCACCTCAAGCATTCTCTTTTGTGTTATAAACAATCCAATTATAATCTTATTATTTTTAAGTGTACAATTACTATTGATTATAGTCACCCTGTTGTGCTATCAAATCGTAGGTCTTATTCATTCTTTCTATTTTTTTTTGTACCCATTAATCATCCTCACCTCGCCCTTACACCTCCCACTACCTTTCCCAGCTTCTGGTAACGATGCTTTTACTCTCTATGTCCATGAGTTCCCTTGTTTTGACTTTTAGATCCCACACACACATACAAATGAGAACATGTGATGTGTGTCTTTCTGTGCCCGGCTTATTTTACGTAATAAAATGAACTCCAGTTCCATCCGTGTTGTTGCAAGTAACAGGATCTCATTCATTTTAATAGCTGAACAGTACTCCATTGTGTATATATATCACATTTTCCTCATCCATTCATCTTGATGAACTCTTAGGTTGCTTCCAAGTCTTGGCTATTTCGAACAGTGCTGCAACAAATATGGGAGTGCAGACATCTCTTCAGTATACTAATTTCCTTTCTTTGGGGTTACCTCAGCAGTGGGATTGCTGGATCACACGGTAGCTCAATTTTTTTTGGAGGGGGGGAATATCCCAACTCTTTTCCATAGAGGTTGTACATTCCCACCAACAGTGTATGAGCTTTCCCTTTTCTCCACATCCTGGCAAGCATTTGTTTTTGCCTGTCTTTTGAATATAAGCTGTATTAGGCTTTTCTTGCATTGCTATAAAGAAATACTTGAGACCGGACAAAATATCAAGAAAGGAGATTTAATTGTCTAATGGTTATGCAGGCTGTACAAGCAAGGCAACAACCATCTTCAGGGGAGAACTCAGGGACCTTTTACTCATAGCAGAAGACGAAGTGGGAGCAGGCACATCACATGGCAAAAGCAGAAGCAAGAGAGCAAAGTGAAAGCTGTTACACACTTTTAAACGACCAGATCTAATGAAAACTCACTCACTATCTTAAAGACACTACTAAATGGGATGGTACTAAACCATTCATTAGAAATGTGACCCCGTAATTCAATTAGCTCCTACCAGGCTCCACTTCCAACCCTGGAGGTGGATTATGTTTTAATATGAGATTTTGGTGGAGACACAGATCCAAACCATATCATAAGCCATTTTAACTGGGGTGAGATGATATCTCATTGTAGTTTTGATTTGCATTTCTCTGATGATCAATAATGTTGAGCACCTTTTCTAATGCCTGTTTGCCATTTGTATGTCTTCTTTACAAAAATGTTTATTCAAATACTTTGTTAATTTTTTGATTAGATTATTATGCTTTTTTTCCCACAGAGTTGTTAAAGCTCCTTATGTATTTTGGATATTAATCCCTTGTCAAATGGGTAGTTTGCATATATTTTCTCCCATTCTGTGGACTGTCTTTTCACTTTGTTGATTGTTTCCTTTGCCATGAAGAAGCTTTTAATTTGATATGATCCCATTTGTCCATATTTGCTTTGTTGCCTATGCTTTTGGAAGATTATTTAAGAAATTTTTGCCCAGACCAATGTCTTGAAGATTTTTTCCAACGTTTTCTTTGTGTAGTTTTGCATTTTGATATCTTAGATTTGATCTGTATATATGGCATGTGTATATGGCATGAAATAGGAGTATAGTTTTATTCTTCTGCATATGGATATCTATATCCAGCATCATTTATTGAAAAGACTGTCTTTTTGCCAGTAGGTGTTCTTGGCGCCTATGTCAAAAATGAGTTCACTTTAGGTGTGTGGATTGTTTTTGAGCTCTCTGTTATGCTCTGTTGATTTAAATATCTGCTTTTATGCCAGTACCATGCTGTTTTAGTTACTAGAGCCCTCTAGAATAATTTGAAGTCAGGTAATGAGATTCCTCAGTTTTGTTCTTTTGCTTAAGATAGCTTTGGTTTTTCTGGGTCTTTTATGGTTCCATGTAAATTTTAAGATTGTTTTTTCTATTTCTGTGAAGAATGTCATTGGGATTTTGACAGGAATTGCATTAAAGCTCTAGATTGCTTTGGGTAGTATGGACATTATAACAATATTTTTCTTCCAATCCATGCACATGGAATATCTTTCAATTTTTTTGTGGTCTCTTTAGTTTCTTGTATCAGTGTTTTATAGTTTTCATCATAGAGATCTTTCACTTCTTTGGTTAATTCCTAGGTATTTAATTTTGTCTGTAGCTATAAGAAATGAAATTACTTTTTAATTTCTTTTTCAGATGATTCACTGTTGACATACAGAAATGCTATTACTTTTGGTATGTTGATTTGTGTTCCACAACTGAATCTGTTTATTAGTTCTATTAGTTTTTTGGTGGAGTCTTTAGGTTTTTCCAAATATAAGATAGTATCATTTGCAAACAAAGATAATTTGACTTCTTCCATTACAGTTCGGATGTCGTTTATTTTTTCTTCTGTTTGATTGCTCTAGCTAGTACTTCAGTACCATATTTAATAACAGGGGTGAAAGTGGGCATCCTTGTCATTTTCTAGATCTTAGAAGAAAGGCTTTCAGTTTTCCCCATTCAGTATGATACTAGATATGCATCTGTTGTATATGGCTTTTATTATGTTGAAGTATGTTCCTTTTATGCCTAGTTTTTTTAGGGTTTTTATTATGAAGGGATGTTGAATTTTATCAAATGCTTTTTCAGCATCAATTGATATGATCATATGATTTTTGACCTTCATTCTGTTGACATGATATATCACATTGATTAATTTGCATATGTTGAACCATCCTTGCATCCCAGAGATAAATCCCTCTTGGTCATGATGAATCACCTTTTTAATGCATATTGTTGCATACGGTTTGCTAGTATCTTATTGAGGAATTTTGCATCAATATTCATCAGATATATTAGCCTGTAGTTTTCTTTTTTGATGTGTCTTTGGTTTTGGTATAAGGGTAATACTGGCCTCATAGAATGAGTTTGGAAGTATTCTCTTTTCTTTTATTTTTTGGAATAGTTTGAGTAGGATTAGTATTAGTTTTTCTTTAAATATTTGGTAGAATTCAGTTATAAATGCCTCACGTCCCAGGCTTTTCTTTACTTGGAGAGTTTTTATTATTGTTTTGATAACAGTATGTGTTATTGGTCTGAACAGGTTTTGGATTTCTTCATGGTTCAATCTTGGCAGGTTATATGTGTCTAGGAATATGTTCATCTCTTCTAGATTTTCCAGTTCATTGGCATACAGTTGCTCATAGTAGCCACTAATGATTCTTTAAATTTCTGCTGTATCAGTTGTAATGTTTTCTGTTTTCATTTCTGATTTTATTTATTTGAATCTTCTCTCCCTTTTCCTTAGTTAGTCTGACTAAAGGTTTGTCAATTTTAACTTTTAAAAAAAAAACAACTTTTTGTTTCACTCATGTTTTATATTGTTTTCTTCATTTCAATTTCTTTCATTTGTGCGCTGAACTATATTATTTCTTTTCTTCTGTTAATTTTGCATTTGGTTTGCTCCTTCTTTGCAAGTTCTTTAAGATGAATCCTTAAGTTGTTTAAGTTTTTCTTCTATTTTGACGTAGGCATTTTTTGCTATAAACTTCCATTTTGGTACTGCTTTTGCTATATCCTGTAAGTTTTGGTATGTTGCATTTCCATTATCATTTGTTTCTAGAAACTTTTCAATTTCCCTCTTTTTTCATTGACCCACTGGTCATTCTGGAGTATATCGTTTAATTTCCATGTATTTGTGTAGTTTCATTTTATTGTATATAGTTTTATTCAATTGTGGTCAGAGAGATGGTTGATACTATTTCATTTTCTTTTGAATGTTTGAACACTTGTTTTGTGACCTAATATGAGGTCTATTCTTGAGAACAATCTATGTGCTGAGAAAAAGAATGTGTATTCTGCAGCCATTAGATGAAGTTCCACTTGGTCTATAGTGCAGATTAAGTCTAATGTGTCTTTGTTGATGTTGTGTCTGGAAGATCTATCCAATGATGAAAGTGGGGTATTGAAGTCTCCAGCTATCATTGTATCAGAGTCTATCTCTCGCTTTAGCTCTATATTTGCTCTGTTTACATGGGTACTCCAGTGTTGGGGGAATATATATTTAAAATTCGTATATTCTGCTGCTGAATTTACCCCTTTATCACTATATTGTGACCTTCTTTATCCCTTCTTATAGCTTTTGTCTTGAAGTCTATTTTGTGTAACTACTCTTGCTCCATATTGGTTTCCATTAGAAAGGAATACCTTTTTCCATCCCTTTGTTTTCAGTCTATGTGTTTCTTTATAGGTGATGTGTATTTCTAATAGATAACAGATCATTGGCTTTTGGATATTTAATCCATTCAGCCACTCTACATCTTTTGATTTGGGTGTTTAATCCATTTACATTCAATGTTTTTATTGATAAATAAGCACTTACCCCTGTTATTTTGCTATTTCTTTTTTATTTTTTTTGTCTTCCTTTCCTTCTATTTTTCTTCATGTCTTTCCTTCAGTGGAAGCGGTTTTATCTGGTAATGTAATTTAGTTTCTTGCTTTTTATTTTTTGTGTATCCATTGTATGATTTTTGGTTTGAGGTTACCACGAGGCTTGCAAATATTATCTTATAACCAATTATTTTAAGCAGATAACAACGGAACACTGTTTGCATAAACAAACTATCAAGCAAAAATAAAGCTAATAAAAATTCTACTCCTTAGCTTTGTTTGGTTTTTGATAGGTTCATTGTTTAATCTTTCTATTTAGGATAGAAGTAGTTTACATACCACAGTGACAGTGTTATAGTATTCTGCATTTTTCTGTGTACTCACTATTATTAGTGAGTTTTGTGCCTTCAGGTGAGTACTTATTGTTTATTAACATACTCTTTTTTTTCTGCTCCCTATAGCATTTCTTGCAGGATGGGAGTGGTAATGATGAAATCCCTCAGGTTTCATTTGTCTGAGAAAATCTTTATTTCTCCTTCATATTTGAAGAATGTTTTTCCAAGATATACTATTCTAGGGTAAAAGTTTTCTTTTCTTCAGTACTTCAAATATGTCATACTATTCTCATCCAGCCTGTAAGGTTTTCGTTGAAAAGTCTGCTGCCAGATGTATTGCAGTTCCATTTTATGTTATTTGTTTCTGTTCTCTTGCTGTGCTTAGGATCCCTTCTTGATCTTTGAAAGTTTGACTATTAAATGCCTTGAAGTAGTCTTGTTTGGGTTAAATCTGCTTTGTGTTTTATAACCTTCTGGTACTTGGCTATTGATATCATTCTCTAGGCTTGGGAAGTTCTCTGTTATTATCTCTTTGAAAAAACTTTCTACCTCTACCTCTTTCTCTACCTCCTCTTTAAGGCCAATAACTCT
The DNA here is from genome assembly GCF_000001405.40 of Homo sapiens. Lineage (NCBI taxonomy): Eukaryota > Metazoa > Chordata > Mammalia > Primates > Hominidae > Homo > Homo sapiens. The sequence continues at coordinate 7,469,685 of NC_000020.11, forward strand.
TAGATTTGCCCCTTTGAAGCTATTTTCTATATTTTAATTTTTTTTCTTTTGTCTTCTGTTACTGTGTATTTTCAAATAGCCTGTTTTCAAGCTCACTAATTTTTTCTTCTACTTGATCAATTCTGCCATTAAAATACTCTGATGCATTCTTCAGTATGCCAATTGCATTTGTCAGCTCCAGAATTTCTGCTTGATTCTATTCAACTATTTCAATCTCTTTGTACAATTTATCTGATATAATTCTGAATACTTTCTATGTGTATGTTAAATTTTTTTTAGTTTCCTCTAAACAGCTGTTTTGAATTTTCTGTCTGAAAGGTCATATATCTCTGTTTCTCCAGGATTGGTCATTCGTACCTTATTTAGTTCATTTAGTGAGGTCATGTTTTTCTGGATTGTTTTTTTTTTTTTTCTTTTGAGTTGGAGTCTCGCTCTGTCGCCCAGGCTGGAGTGCAGTGGCGTGATCTTGGCTCATTGCAAGTTCCGCCTCCGAGGTTCATGCCATTCTCCTGCCTCAGCCTCCCGAGTAGCTGGGACTACAGGTGCCCGCCACCACGCCTGGCTAATTTTTAGTAGAGATGGGGTTTCACCGTGTTACCCAGGATGGTCTCAATCTCCTGACCTCATGATCCACCCACCTCCACCTCCCAAAGTGCTGGGATTACAGGCATGAGCCACCACGCCCAGCCTTCTGGGTTGTTTTGATACTTGTAGATGTTCATCTGTTTCTGGGCAATGAAGTTACGTATGTATTGTAGTCTTCACAGTCTAGGCTTGTTTGTACATGTGGTCCTTGGAAAGACTTTCCAGATATTAAAAATTTCTTGGGTTTTGTGATCTAAGTTACATCTCCTTTAGGGAGCACCCCAAGTCTAGTAACACTGTGGTTCTCACAGACTTGTTGAGGCACTGCCTTAATGATCTTAAACAAGATCTGAAAGAATTCTCTGGATTAACAGGCAGAGATTCTTGTTCTCTTCCCTTACTTTCTCCCAAACAAATGGGGTTTCTTACTCTTCTGAGCCACCTGATTCTGTGGGTGGAGTGACACAAGTACCCTTTTGGCTACCACCATTCTGTTCTGGGTCTGACTTGAAGCCAGTACAGTGCTGGTTCTCACCCAAAACCTGCTGACACCACTTCTTGGCTACTGCCTATGCTTTCTCAAGGCCCTTAGGCTCTGCACTTATCAGGTGGTAAATTCAGCCAGGCCTGTGTCCTTCACTTCAAGGCGGTGAGTTCCCTAGGACCTGGGTGGGTACAGAGCTGCTGCCCAGAAGCCAGGGACTAGAGTCTGAAATCTTAGAAGTCTATTTGGTGTTCTATTGTACTGAGGCTGGGCTGGCACTCAAGCCACAAGACACAGTCTTTCCCACTCTCCACCCCTCCCCCATTTCCAAAGGCTGAGGAGCCTCACCCCATGGCCACTGCCACCACAGGCCACAGTGAGTACTGCCAGACTGCCACCTATGTTTCCTTAAGTCCTAAGCGCTCTTCAGTCAGCTTGTGGCAAATGCTGCCTGGCCTGGGACTTACCCTTCAGGGCACTGGGCTCACCTCTGGCTGAGGGCAGGTCCAGAAATGCCATCAAAGAGTCAAGTGCTGGAATCAGGGGCCCCAAGAGCCCACTTGGTCCTCTATCTCATTTTGGCTGAGTTGGTACATAAGGTGAAAGACAAAGTCCCCTTTATTTTTCCTTCTTCTTTTCCCAAGCAGAAGGAGTCTTGCCCCATAGTCACCATAGATGGTAATGTGCTGAGTCTCACCTGAAGTCAATATGTCTCAGAGTTTCACCCAAGGCCTCAACTAGTACCTAGGTATCACTGCTGGTTATTCAGGGCCCAAATACTCTTCCGTTAGAAGGTGATGAATGCTGCCAGGACTAGGTCCTTCCCATCAAAGCAGCAAGTTCTCTCGTGGCCCAGGCTGTATCTAGGAATATCATCTGGGAGCTAGGGCCTGGAAAGGCTGCCTCACAACTCTGACTAGTGCCTTGTCCTGCTGTGGCTAAGCTAGTATCTAGGATGCAGGACAAAGTCCTCCACACTCTTCCCTCTCCTCTCCTCAAACAGTAGGGAGGGATCTTTTTAGAAGCCATGAGCTGTGTAGATTGGCGTTAGGAGAGAGGTGATGGCAATACTCCCTTAGCCCCACACTGGCTGGTGTCTCAGTAGGTTGCACGTCCCTTCAGTGGTCTGGCTACAGGCCCAGTTCAGCACTAGGAGTCACCTGGAATTGCAGCCTAGAATGTCTTTCAAGTTTATTTAGAGCCCCACAGCACTTTAGTCTGTAGTGGCAAGGACTCTGGGAACTCAAGTTCTGACCGCTGGGATCAGCAATTCCTCTCTAACTAGGGCTGGTTTAAATGCTCTCTCTGTGAGCTGGTGGCAACTGAGTTTGGTCCAGTTTTTCTTTCTGCTGTAATAGCACAGCATTGATTTCAATGCTTCACAATTCCTGTGCTCTCCCTCCTCCAGCACACAGAAACCCTCTCCACAGCAAACTGCTGATTCTGGGAAATAGAAGAGGGGGTGGCAAAAGCGATTCAAGACTGTTTTTTTGTTCCTCTTTCAGTGATACAAAGTTAAAACAAAGTACTCTGACTGCCCACCTGATTTTTGTTCTTGTAAAGGTGCTGTTTTTGTGTAGATAGTTGTTAAATTGGTGTCCTTTTGAGAGGGTAGGGGAATGATTAGTGGAGCCTTCTGTTCCGTGATCTTGCTCCATGCCAAGCTCACTTATTTAGCACTTAAATGAAAGACTTAATGTTTTGAAATCTTCTACTTGATAATAGCTGCAATGTATTGAGAGAGTCCTCCACTTCAACCAGGTTAAGCTCAAAGATATAGAGCCAGCGAGTGGCAGGCCCAGTATCTATACCCAGATCTGACTTCAAAACCTACGCTCTATAAAACACCTTCTACCAGATAATCCACATTTACTCACTAGTAAATAATTATTTTCCCATGTTTATTAATCAAGGGTATTTAATTTTCCATTAGGTGAATACAGCTAATATTACCGGAAGAGGTTGATGGAACTGCAGTACTAATGAAGAAAGCCTGACCCATTAGCTTTTATGTCTCGCTATAAACAACTACATTATTTTTCTTTTGCCTTTGATAAAATTTATATTGCTTTTCCTTTCACTTAATCTGCACATAACCCTGAGTATCTAGTTATTTGGATGGGAAGCCAGTATTTCTGGAGTTATGCTACAAACATCCCCAAAATCTCAGTGCCTCACAATAAACAAGTTTAATTCTCACTCATAGACCATATGAGCTGTGGGTCTATTTCATTTTCGTTTATTCTGAGGCAGATAGGATAATCAGCTTCTTTCTGGAATATTGTTAAGCTTGAGGCCAAGGGAACATTCAGTAATAGTAGACTCATGCAATGGCTTCTCACCCCTCTGCTTGGAAGAGGTGTGCTCACTACTGTCAACATTTTATTGGCTAGAATAAGTCATGTCACCTCAAACAACTCCAGTGGGATAGGGAGCTTTAATCTCCCCACTAGAAAGGACACCACAAAATTATAGGGCTAAATCTTCTATCAGCCACTAGGTAAGGGACATAGGACAGCAAACATTCGATAGTAATAATACAGGATACTGGAAACATTTTAAGTACTATTTAGCTTCCACTGTATAAATAAAATAACTTACTTGTCTATTAACCGATGGAGAAGCAGCTATATTATTTTGAATTCTATTGTTACAAACAGTGCTTACAAATCTTTCCTTATAGGCATTCACAAGAGTTTCTCTAAGATAAACACTTAGAAATGCAGTTGTGGGTAATCGTTTCATATGTATCTTTTACTTCAGTAGATCTTGCCAAAGTTTCCTCTAAAATGTTGTTCAACTTTATCCTCTTACCTGCAATACGTAGGAATTTCAGATTCTCTACATAAAACATTTCTATATGTGCTGTTACCAGGTTTCTTTTGGAAATAAATGTTATAGAATGTTAAATCTGGGTGACAGTGACATGACCATTCTATTTCTTTTCTGTATATTTAAAACATCTCTTAAATCCTAGTTAATCAAATTAATTAATATTTAATAAGAGTATTTTTAAATAAAAATAAAATAAAGAGCAGCCATAGAAGCAAATTGTTGTGAAGAATTCCTAAAAGTCTCTTGTCATTATCTTCTGAATCATTGAATGATAATAGATGCTTTCTTCTAAATGTTCACACATGCCCTTCTATTATTTCCTCCTCTATTTGCTAAGCATTTCTTCAAGTACAAACATCCAATAGAAACAAAAAAGACGATTTCTTTGCTGTTTTATGCTATTTAAACTACTACTAGATAGAGAAGAAATTGATGCCCCTTTTTCCGTGTTCCTTGGTCACCTGTGCTACTGGAGTGTGTGCACAATTCTGGGGCACATGTCAAGTTTTTTTTTTTTTTCCGTCTTTAAACTTCAGCATCTCTCTGCCTGAAGGTTTCTTCTGACTTCAGAAGCATGTTCAACCAACAAGTGGCAAATTAGAAGTGCCAGGATGTTAATGTTCCCCAAAACTACCCTCAACCAATTGGCTGCTCTCACAGATTCCTGAAACTCTGCAGGGAGAGTGTTCTAGAATCTCTCAGAGTGTTCTCTGAAGGATCGAGCCTCAGTTGTCCATGGTGGTAACCCGCCCATTTCTGTACCCTTTTTGGTCTTCCTTTGTCAAATTTGTCCTGACATGCATTAAAGTTTCTTCAGGAAAATAAATTTACCTGAGGACTGACTGCCTTTTAAAATGTTTAAGACATTTAATTAAATGGGGGCTAAAAAAATACTTAATTAAATGGGAGCTAATCCTTATAGATATTTAATATAATAAAATTAATTTATATTTATGAAAAGTGCAAATTATTGAATTTTCATAAAAATAATTTTATTTTAAGCAAACTTAGAAAGTTGAACTTGACATTTTAAAAATAATGTGGCTTTAAATTTGCAGCCTTAGTGAATAGAATATCATTTATAACTGAAATTATTAAGAAGTTGTTTCCATACAGTAGGCTTCCTGTAGACTTAAAATAACTCACATTCATACTTTTCAACGAAAATACAGAGGTAGAATAGATTTTTTGGAACAGGATTAATGAGAGAAGTATTTTATGCTATTTTATTTTAATAGGGTAGAGGCAACAAATATGTGTTTAAAGAAGGAAAATGATATGATTTGGCTCTGTGTCCTCACCCAAATCTCACCTTGAATTATAATAATCCCCACGTGTCAAGGGCAGGACCAGGTGGAGGTAATTGAATCATGGGGGTGGTTTCCCCATGTTGTTCTTGTGATAGGGAGTTCCCATGAGATCTGATGATTTTATAAGGGGCTTCCCCTTTGCTCAGCACTCATTCTCTCTCCTGTTGCCCTGTGAAGAGGTGCCTTCCACCATGATTGTAAGTTTCCTGAGGCCTCCCCAGCCATGTGGAACTGTGAGTCAAACCTCTTTCTCTATAAATTACCCAGTCTTGGGTATTTCCTCAGATCAGCGTGAGAATGGACTAATGCAGACAAGAAAAAGATGACAGAGAAACAGAGATTGAAGACACACATACATAAACACACACACAGACTGTTTTTTTCCCTATGTGATAAAAATATAAAGTAAATATTTTTGAATGAAGAGTCAGTCACTGTATCTGTATATAACTTTTGAGGAGGCATTGACCTAAATCTAATAGGAGATGGCAACTTAAGTTAAACTATGAGTGGAAATTCTGATTATTTTATCTTTGTGATTGGAGCTTACCATACTGGATGCTGACAAACTTAGTGAAATTGTTTTGATTATCTGAAATGTTGCATTACTCAGGCTGATCATTCTGAGAGTCATATTTTCTATTCTTATATAATCTAGAGGTATGGAAGCAGTAAGAGAGATGATTTAAAATACATTGATTAAGAATGTAATTTAAAATAAAAGAAAGAAGAACCTCTAATAACTTATTGGTTATTAATATCACATACACTAAGCACAAAGCAAAGCAAAATTTATTTCACTGATTTTTATTTACATAAAAGTATATTTTCTCCATGTGATATATCTGCTAAAAATAAAAAAAGACGTTAAATTAGGTGGATCATATAATTGTCTGACATTGTCTTCCCAGGTAGCAAGAGTGTATCTAAAAAGATTTTTTTTTCCCTTTTCTATACTTCCTTTTTTACCAACCCTCTCCCCTTCTCAGTCAGATGACTCCACACCACCTCAAGGAAAATTAGGTTGTTAAAACAAAAGGATAAAGAGAAAGGCAGTTGTTTTGACCTCCAATATGTGCTCCTGAGCATCCAAAGAGCAGGCCCTGGTGGAACTGAGTATGGAGCAAATCGAGAAAAAAGGAGAGAGGTTGACAAACCTGCTCTAGCTCTCCCATAAAACTCAATGCATGAGGCTTACCCAGGCTGACAGAGCTCATGCACAACCTTAGGAAGGTGGTGTTCAAACACTAGCATGTGTTAAAATTGCCTGGAAGACTTAACAAGATGCAAAGTTTAGTCAGCCTCTGAGTTTCTGAAGTAGATCTGAGGTGTGGCTCAAAACTTTGCATTTCTAATTAGCTTCCAGCCAATGTTGATACTGTTAATCTACAGACGACACTTTGAGAACTAGTGATTTAGGAGAAGGAGGAATGGCCTAAAGTCAAGAAAAGGATTTAAAAAATCAGCTTCCAGATGAAGACTTTATTATGGCTTGCTCTGGAAAGCCATGTAAAAATGCAGCCAATGCATACAGAATATATCACAGCTGATCAAATAAGAATTTATATTATCTGGCATAGAAGATATTCTCTAGGTCCCTGGGAATTAGGGCTCATCAAAGTTGCCAACTGCTAGCATTTGGTTATTTTAGTAAAAGTACTTGGCCATATTCTGAAATTTGGCTAAATCCCATGTAATCTCTTGGGAACCCACTGTTTTTAAGGATCTAAATTAGTTGAAAATACCTGAAAGCAAAAAATGGGGCCCTTGATAAACAGACATATCAATACTAAGGTGGAAAAGAAAGTCTCAGCACCATATTTGGATGCAACTAGATGTAGCAAATTACCTCCCATTACACTCCAAGACTCCATTCATGCCTTACATACTCTGATTCTGTACCTTATTTATAAATGTCCCAGTCTTCTTCTTCTCCTTATTCATGATTTTCCTTAATCTTTTCTTATCTTTTTATAAAATCTACCCCTCTCTGGCATTAGCTAGAACCATCCAAATGTCCTGTTATAAGAGGGTATTTAGCAGTGATTAATTCCAATAAACATCATTATTGTTTCCCATGAATGTATTTTGAAGCTTTTCTGTATCCTACTGCATCATTTTCTTCAAAGTTCATATTAGCACAGAGAGGATGCTGTTAAATATTTTCAAGACTATGGTGTCCAACATAGTCTTTTGATTATTATCCAAACATCCTCACCAGTCTTGATCTTCAAGAAGACACAATCAACTCACTGCTGCTCCACAGATGTAAAAGAACAAGTTATGCCAGGGAAATATCCATGCTGGTCCATCTGGAACAAAATGTAAACACAAAATCTACATTTTATAACATCTCCTTCCAATCATATGACAACTTGGATCTGGATTTAACATGTGGACATCAGGCAGTGAATAAACCCTGATGGCCTATCTGGCAGTCATCGTCCTGAATAAAGACTGGAAAGAAAAACAGGCCATGAGGGAGCTGTACTATGTCAGAGCTTAGCCCACCCACCTGGGATTATGCCATGCAACTTGCATCCAAAGGGAAAGCTTGGTCTTGCAAAGAACCTGGAATAAAGAGAATAAGCATATCTTGATTTGTACACATATTCATGACTTCTGCATGGGGTAGGTTATTATCAGTCTGATTAAGGACTAAGCCATATTGGAGATGAGATACATTCTAAAATTTGTGGTACTTATGTAGCTTTTTGGGACCACTGACATTGCAATTATAATATTATCTGATCAGGCCATACAATTAGCAATGGTCTGAAGTATGAGGCAATGTACAATCTTTGAAGTAGTTCTCTTTTCTGCAAATATAAAATGTTGTGAGAAGAAAAGAAACCTTCTAGATGACAAATGCCATCCATCTACTGGTAAACATAGTTTGTGCGTGTGTATACGTGTATTACTGCATAATTCATCACTCAATAAAACAATCAGTATATTATTATGTTCATGGATTCTGCAATTCAAAAATTTCAAAAGAGCACAATGATGATTTTGTGTTTCTGCTTTGTGATATCTGAGGTCTCAACCGCAATCTTCAAATACTGCAGGTGACTTGACGACTGGGGGCTTGAATCATCTGAAGACATTTATTCATGTGTCTCGAGGCTAATACTGGTGGTTGGCTCTCTACTGGGGTTATTGCTTAAGCACCTACATAGGCAATCTCATGGGTCTGCTTAGGCTTTCTCACATCATGGTGGTTGTGTTCCAAAAACAGGTGCTCAAAAATAATCAGACAGAAGATGCATCACCTTTTAGGAATTAGCATTGGCTTCAGTTTGGTCAAAGTCATAAGCCACCCACATAGAATCCCCCCTCTTAATGAGAGGAGCGTCAAATCCACACTCTAGGAGTTCGTGAGATGGGATTATTTTGCAGTGATCTTTGGAAAAAGATAACCTGTCAAGGGGCCATCTCACTTCTCTGAGTCACACTTGCTTTTCACTATTTGGATGATTTTCTTCTTGTATTACAAAATGTTGGGACTGCCTTACTGTAGCATGACATGTTTCACTGTGAAGACAGAAACCTTACTTCTCAAGTTAAATTTGCTTTGATGGACACAATTAAGATTCCATAAGGTACATGCTGGATGTTGGGAATGTATCTTAATGGGAGAAGACAAGAGGCCTTTTTTTTTAAGCAAAGGAGAAATGACTCACTTCTGTGGGTCAAACATGAAAAACCTTTATGATTTATCTGGACCTGTGACCCATCCACTTTACCTTGGACTAGGTGGAAAAACATACTTAAGATGTGGAAATTGGGTTAAAAATTGCTTTGACTGACTGCTGCTAACAGTTGAAGAAAAAATATTTAATGAGCAAAGCAGTTTCTAAAACTAGAATCCAGTTAATTTGTGCCCAAATCTGTACCATTATTTGATAAGCCTGGTGTTTCATAGAAATTGAACAACTTGTCCATAAGAGGTGGCCTACTGCATTGGGTGATCCTGGTTCAATACAAGGCTATTTCCCGTATGGAAAGTTATCTTGAAAACCCCAAAGGTCTCAAGATTCTGAACATGGGTGTCCTAGGTAAAGGCTTTGGGCTTATTTGCATCTTTCTGTCTCTTTCCAAACTCTGCTAATGATTCTAAGGTTCCTCACCTTTCTGTGAACTTTATTAAAATGAATGTGCCTGAGTGAGTTGGGCCCCTTTCCTGAGTTTCCCTCTCCTCTTTCAGCAGCCTAGGAGATGAGACAATGAGTTAATTGAGGTAGCTACCTGCATGCAACCCCTGGACGAACCTATCTCTCTGTTGTTTTTGGACTGTAGTCTATGTAAACTGCCTCAAAAATATTTTTTTCTGAAGCTTTTGCCAATATTGCAATTTTCCACTAAGGATTTTGAGGAAAATGAAACCATCAGTGAATTGTTCATGAAAAAGCAAAACTAATACACCAGGCACTTTATATATTGTATTTTATAATGTATTTATAAATGTTATATATATAAGTGCTATATATACACACACATATATAAGTGCTATATATATACATTTATAAATATATAGTACTTATATATATAACATTTATAAATATATATTGTACATTTGCCCTTCTTCCATTATGATACACTCTCTAACTTGTAGTGTGTACCTTGTAGAATCTTAATCATGTGCTCCAAAACAATTCATCCTTTAAAATTAAGGGTCCTATCTTCACAGTGGGAAAGATCATGTGAAAATAAGGGTCTCTCTCCCTGTCTCTCTTCCTCTCTCTCTCTACATATACATATCATAAGATAAGAATAGCACCCTCCTCTATGATGAGATGACAGTTACTTCAAGGAGAGTCTCATCAGTTAGGAAAATTAACTTCTCCCTTGTCTTGTAAAACAGCTATTTCAGGAAGATACATACATTAAACAACTGTTCAGGAGGATGTGGTCATTAGACCTCACGTCTTTGCCTTCTTTCACTTTTAATGAAGGGTGAACATTTGGTTTATGGTACCAAAGATATAAACATTTCTATGATTTAGAATAGAGGTTCTCAAACTCAGGGTGCATCAGAATTATTTGAGAGTTCACTAGCAGATTGCTTCTGGGCACTCCACTTTCAGAACCACTGCTCTACAGCCTTACTACCCTAAGTATGGTCTGTGGACCAGCAACACGGGCAGTCACCTAGGAGCTTGTGAGAAACAAAAGATCTCAGGCTCCAATCTAGACCTGGAAAATCAGGATCTGCATTTTAGCAAGATCATCAGGTGATTGGAATGCCCATTTAAGATCGAGAAGAAGAAGCACTGTTCTAGAATCATAATTTGTAGCCATTTCCTGCTGCTCCTATTTACAATTGTATTATAATATGTGCCTCTGGTCATACCTAATGTTACAGACAATTTCCACTGTACCCAACTTAAAATAGCCAAAAAAGTGTATTCTGCATCCAAGGATTTAATAATACTATTAAAGTGATAATTATTACCTAAAATCATTTTAATATTAGTAACAAGTAGACCATAATATATCCCACAATTTTTTTTTTTTTTTGAGATGGAGTCTGGCTCTGTTGCCCAGGCTGGAGTGCAGTGGTGTGATCTCAGCTCACTACAACCTCCACCTCCTACGTTCAAGTGTTTATCCTGCCTCAGCCTCCCAAGTAGCTGGGATTACAGGCATGCGCCACCATGCCTGGCTAATTTTTGTATTTTTAGTAAAGACAGGGTTTCACCATGTTGGTCAGGCTTGTCTTGAACTCCTGACCTCATGATCCGCCTTCCTTGGCCTCCCAAAATGCTGGGATTACAGGCATGAGCCACCACGCCTGGCCCCACAATCATTATTAATACTATAGTTAAACCTACAAAAGGTCTGGGGCTTTCTTTTACTCCAGACAAGAGTTAAAAAATAGTGATGGACAGCACTGATTCATAAGTGGAACTCAGAATGAGAACTTACAAAAGTAAAAAATAAAAAAGGAAATCACAGAAGTGTCTAGACAGAAAAGTATAAATTCCCACGTAGACTAGATTAACTAAATCATGACAAAAATGGGTATCATTATCTTCATTATCCTATTAGATGGAATGTCCAACAATATCTCATGGCTAACTTAGCTGGCTCTAGAAAAAAGAGAAATATTTAGTTTCCTGAGATAATTTGGAAAATACAGTCAAAATGTAAAAGCCTTTTAATACAAAATTTTTCTTGCTAGCATATGTTTTTATTTTCAAAGGGGAGCTTCGGTATAAATTCAATACAGCAGATACTTTTACAAATTTATGTATGTATGTATATATGAGTTAACAGAGTAAAATGTGTAATTCTAAACATTTTGCTTTAGGAACTGAAAGAAACACTATTCTATTGAATCAACATATTACTAGACTTTAAAATGTACATATTTAGGCCAGGGGTGGTGGCTTACACCTGTAATCCCAGCACTTTGGGAGGCCAAGGCAAGCAGATCACTTGAGGTCAGGAGTTTGAGACCAGCTTGGCCAACATGGTGAAACCCTGTCTTTAATAAAAATACAAAAATTAGGCGAGCATAGTGGCACACACCTGTAATCCCAGCTACCTGGGAGGCTGATGCAAGAGTATCCCTTTAACCTGGGAGGTGGAGTTTGCAGTGAGCCGAGATCACGCCACTGCACTCCAACCTGGGCAACAGAGCAAGACTGTGTCTCAAAAAAAAAAAAAAAAGCAAAAAAACAAAAATACAATAAAAAAAAAACCCACATGTTTAGAAGATGCCAGATAGCTGCTGAGCTCCCATTCATAATATTTCTTCTTTCCCCATGCCTTAATATTATAGAAAATAAAACCCCCTAAGTTAAAAAAAACCATGGGAAATAGAAACCCTGAAATATTTAAGAACTTAAGAACATTTTATAATCAGATTAAGAGCAAAATCTCATCAAGCTAACAAATCTGCAACCCCATAGAGATTTAAAATCTGAGTTTCCCCAAAAACTCTTGTGGAAGGGGTGCAGGAATAGATCTGAAGGAGTAAGGGTTAGGAACAGAAGAGAAAGTACTATGGGACAATTGGACCGCTGTCCCCATAGTGCAACTGAAAGTGTTTTTCTTCAAGAGAAAATTAAGACAATGGTTCTCTAAATCAAGTTTCTCTATATTGATTTCTTTTACAATTTTTATGTCCGTGTGAATCATATGAACATCTTACTGAAAGACATTCTGATTCACGAGGTCTGACGTGATGCCAGGCCAGAGATTGGACCTTTCTAACAATCTCCCAGGTGATACCAACGCTGCTGCAACATGGACTGCTCTTTGAATACCAGGGTCTACACCATCAATAACCAACTAGAAAGTATAATGAGAAAACATCATCCCATTCACAATAACAATATCCCAGACTATCTGGAATATATTGGAAAAAGAATTCATAAAATCCAAACAAAGAAATATTTTAAACTTTTTTAAAAAATTAAAGGAGGTAAAGAAAATTATCCATGTCAATGCAGTAATAAGATGCAGGTGAAATGGGCTGACTGAAGACTTCTGCCTCTACTTAGCTGTGTGATTCTGCAGACTTACTGTGAGTCTTTATTTCATCCTCTGAAAAATGGAAGGGACCAAATTCATAACTTAAAGTCTCCAATAGTCAAATAACTGGGTTTTTAAAATTTTTAATTGAGAATCCATGGAAAGTGGTCTGAAGACATGAACAAAAAAACAAATATTTATTTTTTCTCAACTCTAATTGACATCTAACATGTCCTTCAATTAAAAGTGATAGCCCATAGTAGTAAAGGCAGAAACTGTTTTGCAGTTACCAGTATAAATCACAGATATGTTCCTATTACATTATACTTATTGCAAATGTCTTACCATCCTTTCTACTCATCACTGTTTTAAAATTATGGTAGTAGATTGCTAGTCAATAAATGCATTTCACCACATAAACAGAATTAAAAACAAAAATCATGTGATCATCTCAATAAGCACAGAGAAAGCTTTCAACAAATCCCAACATCCCTTTATGATAAAAATCCACAACAAACCAGCCATCAAAGGAACATACCACAAAATAATAAAAGCCATCTATGACAATTATAAACAAAAACTGGAATAAATGGAGAGCAAAATCATGCTCATGCATGGGATAAGAAATCATGGTAATTTTGTTGATAAGGTCTTTGGTATCACACACTCAACGATTTGAATTACTTATCTGAGTTGAGAAACATTCTAACTGGCTCTTCCTTTGGTGCTCATTATTGAAACAAAAAAAGAAATATAAAATCCTTAGGGGAAAGGGTCACCGGGGAAATTTTAAGTAATAATTTCCACTACAATTTTTAATTATAATGTAATTCTTCCCAGGCTATATGGATTATTTGACATGGTCATGTTCTGCAAGACTCAGCCATTTTTGGCCAAGAGGTAACTTTCTTCATGGTATTTTATATAATATTATTCTTTAAAAACTAGTTTTAGTGGTGATTTTAAAAGTGATTATCAGCAATCAATTGATATCTCAGGAGCACAGAACTGGAGCTTGATAGTATGGAGAAATATGTCAATTGTAGTTCAAAGAATGAGTACTCGTGAAATTTTTCTAAGGACTCATTCCACTACTCAGGAACATGTGTAAATCTGGCTTCGAAGACTAGAAAGTAGCAAAGTTTTCAAGTGCTCTTAATGAAAATATGGAAAGCCAAGGGGAAGAGAAAAATTTGAGAAGTATGACTAGGGCCTGAGAAGGACTTGTGCAGGGTCCGAAAAAGACACTGTAGTTGAGCTTGGAGGCAAAGCATTGCTTAGAATTTTGTTTTTGCTTCTTGTTAGCTGTGGAATATTGAGACATTTTTATTGTGCCTCCCTAAGACTACGAATTTTACAACTATAATATGGACTGATAACACCTCCTGGACAGGATTGTTGTAAATACTATATCAAGTAATATGAAAGAAAGCCCTTTAAAACTCTTTGGGAAACAGAAGGGGCTCCCAAAATACTGTTGTTCACACTGGTCCTCTTTCCTTTCCTTCCTCACTGAGGTGCCAATGAATTGAACTGCACATCAAGTTTAAGAATGTGACACTGAGATAAAAAGTAACACGTATTTGCCTCAACATTTGTAACCCTCAAAACACATGTGGATCAGTGGGTGTGTGATTCACTTTTCTTCGCTCTTGATATAAATTTGGGTACTTCTCAGGTCATCAAAGACATTTGTCATGCTTCAGTATTCCAAAGTCTGGTTAAGTTAAAGATGTGTCTACTTACATTTTCAGCCCATAAAAATGCATGTTGATGGTCAGAAAAAAATGTTTACTAATGTGCCAACTTATGCCTCTACCTCAAATTCCTCAACTAGGGATGCAAACAATACTACTTACTTCATAAGGATGTTTTGGTATTTACTAGGCACTTACTAGAGTTCACAACTTGTAAAAGGTGCAAGTAAACAATCTCAATTATTGTACAGCAGACAGACCAGACTCAGCAGAGTGTCACAGATGGAACAGATCAGCTGGAACTTTCAGACTCACAATGAGTGAACAAGAAAAAAGCATTAAATGTAACAAGACTTGCAAGCAAAAGTCACTCTGAATTCCAGAAAAAAACATGTCATGAGGAGAAATATTTAGAAATACAAATAATAGTGAGTTTATCGGCCACTTAATTTCCATGGGGACTTATATGTCCTTTAGCATACTTTTAACTATACAAATCTAGCCTTTCAAACACTGACCCAGAATCCGTGACTTATTAAGCCCATTCATGCCTGAAGGCTTTCCATTCACAGTCTTGTTGTTTCCACAGAAATGTCAGGAATATATCCTTCAAAGCACATTTCCAGCTTCTGCTAATAATGTTATGGCATCTGGACTATATCCTCTGAAAGAATATAAAACACCTTTGGCTTAATATCAACCATCACACAAATGTTCTCCTCATGTTCCAATGACCCATTATTATACCTTTTCCCATCAGATAATAGACAGATATTGTGGTAATAAATGTGTGTGTTCCTAACAGGAAACTGAAAACAAGGACATGAGGTGTTGTGTAATAATAGTAGGTAGACAAGGCACTTAAGGATGTATCATTGAAGCAAATTATTTTAAGAATATTTAAAATTAAGGTGTATTGCATCATGCTATCTTTATGCATCTTGTTCCCATCACCAAACTTTACCATGGTGACGAAGCTAAGCGTGAAGATGTTGGAAGCACTCCCATCCAATATTTGCATCATAATCCAAATAGTAGATCATTTATATGAAGAAGTAGCTGTAACAAGAAAATTATTTTCTCTTTGATTTGATGACCACTTATATCAAATTGTTAAAACAGCTTTTTCTACTTATGTATAATTAAGACAAAGTTTAAAATAAGACAGCTGGTCTAAGTTGAAGTTTTTAAACTTAATGAGTGTATTTGTAGAATATGCATATTGGAACAATCTTTGGTGGGAAGGAGGCCTGCTCAAAAAGTAAAGAACAGTGCAATTTTGGAATCTGTCTCCTCACTGCTCTGAACCAAGGATAGGAAACAGCAAAACCAAGGACACATAAAGCATAGGACACATAGAGCATTTTTCATAGTTCTGGGACTACACAAGTAGCCTTCCTTTATTGTTAGTGGGCAATCTGATTTGAGAACCAGCATATATTTGCTTTCTATTTGCTTTTTTAGCTTTTAAATGACTTGAATGTCAGCCTCCCACTGATTTTATCTTATTGTTATTAATCTGACTTGTAGAGGAAAATATCTTTTGGGAAAATCCATCTGATATAGACCCACTTTACCAATAACAAAAAAATGCTCTACTTAGGGTTACGCATTTTATAAAGTTGTCAATTCTTGTAAAAATAGCATTTTAGAATTAAGAGACAATATAAAGGGGACCTGTATTAGTCTGTTTTCACACTGCTGATAAAGACATACCTGAGACTGGGAAGAAAAAAAGGTTTTAATGGACTTACAGTTCCACTTGGCTGGGGAGACCTCACAGTCATGGCAGAAGGCACGTCTTATGTGGATGGCAGCAGGCAGAAAGAGAGAGAGCTTGTGCAGAGAAACTCTCATTTTTAAATCCATCAGATCTCATGTGACTTATTCACTATCATGAAAACAGCATGGGAAAGACTCACCCCCATTATTCAATTACCTTTCACAGGGTTCTTCCTACAACACATGGGAATGTGGGAGTTACAATTCAAGATGAGATTTGAGTGGGGACACAGACAAACCATATCAGGACCAAATAAAAAATCTGAGCTGAATATTTGACAAAATGGCACACATGCCACATCTCCATAGATGAGTCTTTATCCATACATCAAAAAGGCTCACCATAGGTGCTAGAAATTAGGCCAGAGAATGTGGCTACAAGAAAATACCAGTGGATTTGTGGCACTAAGCTCCTTATCTAAGGATAAAAGACGTTACAGTAAAACCTGGAAAATGCATATGCTGCTGCTCTTAGGTCAGTGGTAATATTTACATATGACAAGCCACCGTAGTTAAGCTCAGCAGTAATCATGAAATCTAACAGGTCTCTAAAATTATAATATTAATTATCTTTTTGGATGTTTTAATGGGTACTAACATTTCTGATTTTAAGCTGAACATAAATGGATGTTTAGACTATTTATTAGAGTTTCACCAGTGAGACAGAGCCGGGACCCCCCTCTTAGAGTCAGGTGTACCTCCCCACCAAGTATGGAAATAAAGAGAAATCTTGAGTTCCTTCAAAGGAAATTTCAGGCACCTAGCTAGCCTTGAGAAGTAAATAAAAGATGTGATAAGCCAGAATGTAACAGTAGCTTAAAATAATAGCCAATGAAGTCGAACTCACGAGACATTTTGTTCCCTATAGAAACTAAAGATAACAATATAAGTGTCTAAGTTGTTTCTCCAAAGCCCAGATCCCTACCAAATGGATCCATTGGCATGTAGACCTCAAATAAGGGGAAACTAAGGTCTGAACTTTGACCATCATTCTTTGTTTTAAATTTCTTTCTGAGAGGCCTGGAGAAAGTCATGAGACTACCTTTGCAAAATTACAATAGTGAGAGACATATAATATAGTTGACCCCATCTTGCTTCTAACCTCACAAGCTGTTCTTGCCCATTCCTGCACATACGCCAAGCTAGCTATGGGAGGAGTTTAGTTTATACTTTCACTTTAAAACAAGGATGATCATAGTCCCTTCCCAAAACTAACCCCTCCTTGTTGCGACCCAAAACCAGCTTTATGAACCTAATGAAAGGCTACGACTTTAGAATTATGGGAGGACCCTGAATTCTGCTAAGTCCTAGGCATAGTTAAATATAACTGGTTATTGTTTTCTAGTTTGCCTTTTGTAACTTTCCCATTTGCCCCTATAATTTAGACGTAGATTTCTAACTTTCCCATTTGCCCCTACAGATCACATTGTTATTGTAAAACCTAAGATGTGTTTGAGATATTTTTCAAACTTTGCATTCTTGTGGACCAACTGATGCCGCTTGGACTGGCGACAAATCCCTCCCCCCTAGACCTGATAGCACACTAGGACAATTTTGGCACCCTTGTGATTTCACCCCGATCCAACCAATCAATAGTACCAATTCCCTACTCCGCTGCCCTCCAAGCAATCCTTAAAAACCCTAGTGTCTAAATTCTTGGGGAGGCAAATTTGAAAAATATTTCCTGTCCTCCTTGCTTAGTCATCCTGAGATTATTAGACTCTTTCTCTGCTATAACACCTGCTGTTTTCAGTGCATTGGCTGTTTTTAGTACTTGGAATCTAGAAGTGACCAAGAAGACTTAATTCCTCATAGATTTTAAAATGTATTCCAACTTAGATACTATCTTCTACATAATTCTCATTTTGGAGAAGGAAAACAGGGTTTCAAAGAGCTTAATGACTATCTTTTTAAAAAATTATTTATTATTTATTATTAAGTGCTTTTATTTGGGTGCCACTAAAAAATAATTATCTCAATTAAGAAAGATAACAGAAATCACATTCAGCCAGAACCAATTACTTTTTTTCTGAGCAGCGAGCAAGAAGAACCCAGTGGTGACAACAGTCACACCCATGAGCCATAGCTAACTCTTTTCTGTTACCCTCCAATTTTTTTTTAATGAAGCTTATCTTCCTTAATCAATTGCAAAGTAGGACCTTTAAGGACCTTTAAGCTCCTACTTCAAGACATTCTACCCTGTTAAGCCAAAAGCAATACGTAACCTTCGTTCATTGATTTATAATTTTGTCTATAACTTCTGCTTTCCTAAAATTTACCCTTGTCTTTAAAAACCTTTGCTTGTATGCCATCAGGGAGGTCAAATCTTAAGCATTAGAAGCCTAGTCCTCCTTACTGGGCTCCCTGCAAATAAACACCCTTCTTTCTTCACTAAAAACCTTCGTGTGGT
The DNA here is from genome assembly GCF_000001405.40 of Homo sapiens. Lineage (NCBI taxonomy): Eukaryota > Metazoa > Chordata > Mammalia > Primates > Hominidae > Homo > Homo sapiens. The sequence continues at coordinate 7,488,270 of NC_000020.11, forward strand.
TATCTGGTCTTACTCCATAGGGCGAATGGACTCTAGTTGGGTTTCATAACACCAACTTGGTTATAGATATAAGATTTATTTAAATTTCTCTATTTTTCTAAAGTACTGGCACAGAGAAAATAATTTTATCAACTTACAAATTTATCAATATTTATATGAATTAAACCATGTTCATGTTTTCATCACTGCTATAAGAATTTGGGAGAGGAAAGGTTAAGTAGCTACAGAACAAATCAAAGCCTGAAGAAGACATTTCCAATGTAACTTGTTCTAGCTACACTTGAAATGGAAGTTGAGGAAAATCAACTGTGAACAAACAAGTTAGTCCATTGGGAAGTCATTAAGATTTACCTCCTTCCGTGAGTCAAATGTTCTAGGGAGCCATTATCATTTTTTCCCTCAGCTTATCAAACTGCACAAAGAGAAACAAGGTAATTCCTTTACAGACTCCTCAGAGAAAGCCCAGTGGCTCCACCTTTAATGGCATTACTGTAAACCTCCTGAGACATTGTCAGTCAGTCTTCCAGGGACAGAATTAATCTCTGCTGGAGATCTTTGCTGGACTTTATTCTAGATTGTTTACCCTGGTTTTATTCTTCGGAAAAGTCAGTAAATCTCAGGTACTATTGTGGGACTCAGATTCACAAATTTCTCCATCATTTTAGCTACACAACTGCATGTCAAAGGGAGGCATCACTTCATCTTTGGGGTTGTTCTCTTTTCTGTTGCTTCAGGGATTGATCATGCATGTACCATCAGTCAAAGAGTGCCATTGTTTTAAAATGATCAGGAACAACGAAACATGGAGTTGGAAAGAACCATTCACTTCAGTTCAGTTTAATTAAACAAATAATTACTGTGCACAATCTACATGCCAGAAAAACATTCTAGGTGCTTAAAATCTAGAATTGACCAAGAGGACTTAATTCCTCATGGATTTTAAAATATATTCAAACTTAGACGCTATATTCTACATCATTCTCACTTTGCAGAAGGAAAACTGACATTCAAAGAGCTTAATGACTATCTTTTTTTTAAAAAAGTATTTATTATTAAGTGCTTTTATTTGGGTGCCACTAAAAAAATAATTACCTCAATTAAGAAAGATAGCAGAAATCAAATCCAGCCAGATATATATTATATATGTCACATGGTAAAATGTGAGTGAAACCAGAACCTATTTCCATCTCCAACATTAGCTGTGACATATATCTTTTATAGCTTCACTTTTCCTTCTAGAAAACTGAGATAATAAAGCTTGATCTCTCTGTACTTTTCACAATGTTGTCAAATGAATTACATTATGACCTGTGGCTGATAAAAAAAATTTAACCTTTAGATTAAGGATAATTTGAATAATTTTGATGGATAACTGTTAGCAAACATTTTACCAAATTTATCAAGCACAGGATTGAATGATTTTCAATAAAAAGATTTAGTACCTTGCATATAGTTTATAACTTCCCATTCTCTGCAAAGTGTAAACAAGCAATTATTTAAATGTCATTGAAAGATTTTCTGGGTAAAGTAAATAAAGTGCTCTGCAACTATTCAGTATTTTTGTGCTTCACAGGAATGACATGTTGTAATTAATTATTGCGGTGTACGTTCTTTCTTTTTTCTTTTTTTTTTTTTTTTTTTGAGACGGAATCTTGCTCTGTCGCCGAGGCTGGAGTGCAGTGGCGCGATCTCGGCTCACTGCAAGTTCCGCCTCCGGGGTTCGCGCCATTCTCCTGCCTCAGCCTTCCGAGTAGCTGGGACTACAGGCGCCCGCCACTGCACCTGGCAAATTTTTGGTATTTTTAGTAGAGACGGGGTTTCACCATGTTAGCCAGGATGGTTTCGATTCGCTGACCTCGTAATCCGCCCGCCTCTGCCTCCCAAAGTGCTGGGATTACAGGCCTGAGCCACCACACCTGGCCTATTGCAGTGTACTTTCTAAAGATAGGTTTTGGGGATTTCGTTTAAGGAAAATAAAAGGAAAACATGGTAAGGGAAAAAAGAGGAAGATAGTACAATTTGCATACTTAACTTTTAGAGGAGATTTGATTGTCTTAATGTCTGATGATAACCTTCTATTAGCTATGCACAGAGACAGGTCTCTTTGATGCCTTGACATACAGTCCATGTGGATTTAGACCTAACAGTAACTAAGTAAGACCTAATGATGCCCAATGTCTCAGCCAACTGCCTATGACTAATATTTCCTTAAATGTGGGATAAAGATAGTTATGCATGCACAATTTCTTTGTAAGTTTATTGTTGTGTCAAAGGTTGATTTTTACCAAGACTGAGGTCATTAATTCAG